>NC_000021.9:46084399-46238295 GCF_000001405.40 Homo sapiens | reverse complement strand
AAGAATTAATTATAGATGCATAAAACCAAAGTAAATTAAATAAGATAAGCCAAACAAGACAATTACAAGTAATGTTAAGTAACACATCGAAGCAGTTGTTTTTGGATTAATACCACCTTTTTCATTAAATATAAATTGGAATTGGATTTATAAATTAAAGGGAAGTGGTTTCTCTAATTTTTTTTTTTTTTTTTTTGAGATGGAGTTTTGCTCTTGTTGCCCTGGCTGGAGTGCAATGGCGTGATCTGGCTCACTGCAACCTCCGCCTCCCGGGTTCAGGCAGTTCTCCTGCCTCAGCCTCCCAAGTAGCTGGGATTACAGGCACGTGTCACCATGCCTGGCTAATTTTTGTATTTTTAGTAGAGACGGGGTTTCACCATGTTGATCAGGCTGATCTTGAACTCCTGACCTCAGGTGATCTGCCCGCCTCGGCCTCCCAAAGTGTTGGGATTACAGGCATGAGCCACCGAGCCCAGCCTAGTTTTTTTTTTTAAATTAAGCTTTATCATAGGAAGTTGTTAAATTTTTAATAAGTACATTTCTGCTTCTCAGTTGATGTCATAACTTAGTTATATTCTTAGTAAAAAGCAAAGGCTTAAGGCTGGGTGTGGTGACTCATGCCTATAATCCCAGCACTTTGGGAGGCTGAGGTGTGCACATCACTTGAGTTCAGGAGTTGTAGACTAGCCTGACAATACAGCAAAATCCCGTTTCTACAAAAAAATACAAAAATTAGCTGGGTGGCATGCGCCTCTAGTCCCAGGTATTTGGGAGGCTGAGGTGAGATCATTTGAGCTTGGGAGGTCAAGGTTGCAGTGAGCCAAGATTGTAACACTGCACTCCGGCCTGGCCAACAGAGCGAGACCTTGTCAAAAAAAAATAATAATAAAATTGGCCAAGCACAGTGGCTCACTCCTGTAATCCCAGCACTTTGGGAGGCCGAGGTGGGTGGATCACCTGAGGTCAGGAGTTCAAGACCAGCTTGGGCAATATGGTGAAACCCCATCTCTACTAAAAGTACAAAAAATTAGCTGGGCACAGTGGCACTTGCCTATAATCCCAGCTACTCAGGAGGCTGACGCAGGAGAATCACTTGAACCTGGGAGGCAGAGGTTGCACTGACCCGAGATTATGCCACTGCACTCCAGCCTGGGCAACAGAGTGAGACTCTGTCTCAAAAAAAAAAAAAAAAAAATTATATAAAATTTTAAAAAAGCAAAGGCTTAAAAAGTTTTTAAGTATATATAGAAGATTAATGAACAATAGTTAACTTCCTAATGCTCAAATATTTTTGAATTTATTACATATTGTTTCAGGTTTGAAGATCAGCTTCAGCAATGGTTGTCTGAAGACTCAGGAGCATTTACGGATTTAACTTCCCTTCCCCTCTATCTTCCTCAGACTCTAGTGTCTCTTTCTCACACTATTGAACCTGTGATGAAAACATCTGTAACTACTAGCCCACAGGTGAGAAGAACGTATACATTTGGCATTTACATAAGAATTAAAGATTGAGAGAATGGCTGGGGAAAAAAGTAATATCACGATTTATCCTATGATGTTTTGATGACCGACAAATTATTAGCTCAAATTAGACCTTTTCTTAAACTTTATCCATATCATTGTTAAAGAGACCCAACTGATTTTGAGTTTCTGCCTACGAAATAAATGAAGAATAGAATTGAAATATTCTTAAGAACTGAATAAGACCTGTAACTGTGTGCTGATGTGTAATTAAGGGCATTAAGGTGATGACAGCAGCTTCTGTTGGAGCACATATTGTCTGAGCTTTGGCATTACCCAGACCTCTCTTCTGGGATTAATTTTTCCTGAGGAAAACTAATGAATGAGGAAGGTAAGCTCCCAGAAGTCAAGAGCCTCACCCAAGAGTGTTCAAGTAGTGAGTGGTCAGGTTGCTTTTCAAAGCCAGATCCAACTGGCTCCAAAGCCTAAGGTCTTTTTACCTTACCATTCTTCCTTCAGTGGTTAAAGATGCAAAAACAGAGTTTCAATCACAGATATGTGCCACTGAACAGGTAAAAACTGTGCTCCTGGACTGGCTTTAGGAAGTCCTTCAATAGAGGAGAAAAGCAAATTAAAATGATGTACTGTTTCCATTCATCAGTTTGGCAAATACTTTAAAAATATTCATACCCTTTGAATTACCAATTCTAACCTAAAGAATTCTGACCTACCAGATATTCCCCAAAAATTAATGTATAAAAATGTTTACTGTAGCATTATTGTATGAAAGTCGAAACAGAATAAATATCCGAAGATGGGAGTCTGATTAAACAATTATAACACATTCATGTGATAGAATAATTCACAGCCCTTGACGATGATATTTTCTAAAAATGACTGGCTGGGCGTGGTGGCTCATGCCTGTAATCCCAGCACTTTGGGAGGCTGATGAGGGAGGATCGCTTAAGTCCAGGAGCTTGAGTCCAGCCTGGGCAACATAAAGAGATCTCATCTCTACAGTACATAATTAGCCAGGCATGGTGCTACATGCCTGTTGTCCCAGCTACTCAGGAGGCTGAGCTGGTAGGATCACTTGAGCCCAGGAGTTTGAGGCTGCAGTAAGCTCCGATCATACCACTGCGTTCCAGCCTGGGTGAAAAATGACTGACACTGGAAATTGTTCATGATAGAATACAAAGGCAAACAGTCTATATACAGATACCAGCTGAATGTACGAGCTAAATGAGGCTGGAAGGATATACAAAGGATAATTTTTTTCCCTCTGTAAAAATAAATGACTACTCAGATGAGGTTTCTAACATGATCCAGATCTAGTACCTTCCCAGAGATAGGTCGTGGTTTATTGACATCCCAAAACTGTTCAGTTTCTTTTTTATTCAAATAGAGTGACATGATGAGGGAGCAACTGCAGCTGTCAGAGGCGACAGGAACGTGTCTAGGCGAACGACTAAAGCACCTGGAAAGGCTGATCCGGAGTTCAAGGGAAGAGGAAGTTGCCTCTGAGCTCCATCTCTCTGCGCTGCTAGACATGGTGGACATTTGAGCAGCCTGACCTGTGGGGAGGGGGTCTCTCCCGAAGAGTTTCTGTTTTTACTCAAAATAATGTTATTCTCAGATGCTTGATGCACTGTTGGAAATGTGATTAATTTAATCATGCAGATAAACCATTTAAATGTCAGTCTCCCAGTTTTTCATAATGAAAAGTTGTTTCCCCTGTGTGACCTCTTCAATATTCTCCTATATTCATGACCTCCTCAGATTGTCACCCACCAGCATATGCTCTGAGGCAGTTTAGAGCTTACATTTCCATGTATAAAAGGCGATTCATTCTCTCAGCAAACTTGCAGTCCTTGATGTGCCAGACATCAGTGATGCAGAGATAAAGTAAGACACAGGGCCTCTGCCTGCTAAGCCCACCCAGCTTACATCCAGGAGAGTCAGGTACTTATGTACATAATTCTCAGAGAATGTGCATGAGGCGTGGGCCTGAATTGGTAGCAAGGAAAAAACAGAGGATGGAACAGGGTCTGGTTGGGTAGAGGAGAAACAGAATTCCCGGAGAGGAGTGCAGGGGTGTAGCTGGAGACAGTGTACTTGAGAGGACATGATGAAAGCGTGGAGGTACCAGCTTGGTTGTGTGGCCAGGTGAGGGGAACAGGCCAGCAGGGTGAGGTCAGAGATTCTTGTCACCTTCTTCTGAGAGCTGTGAGAACCCGTTGTTGAAGATTAGGCAGAGAAGTGATCTGGTCACATTTTCTTTTAAGAATGGCATGTAGGGCAGGAATCTTGAGAGGTGGGTGCTGCAGCCATCCAGGTGAAATTCAAAGGGAATAAGCGTGAGTTTGTTAGCAATTGGTGTGAAGAGAGGGGATAAAATTTGAGCCATATACAGAAAGAGGTATTAATAGACTTGGTGATGTTGCGTATGACCACCAATCTTAAACTGGCACTCAGCATCTCCTGACTGTAATCCTACATCCCCAGACTCTATTTCATGTCTTCTCATTCTCTTCAAACCTCCAACATTCTTAGATCATGTCCTCCTTATTTCACTGAGAAAACAACAGCACTAAGAAGAGAACCTCTTCCTCCACCAAATCAATCCCTGCTTCTCCAAACACACACTACTCAACTCAGGGATCTTTAGTGATTAGCTTCATGTAAAGACTTAAATAATGCTATTTCTTAATCTTGACTTGACATTGTTGACTTCCTACAATGGAAGAGGAGTTAGCTTCTCTTACACTGTCTTTCCCACAACATATTATCACCCCCACCCTCGACACCCACATTTCCTCTCCTATTAGTCTCCCTAAGCAGTTTGATATTGGCTGAAACCTGCATTCACAGTTTAGTATAACTGTATGTTTACCATTTCCTGTTGAGCCCTTTATTGGTTTATGATTACATTTCCTTTAGGTACAACTTTTGATTTTTCCTGGAGTTAATTACATTGTTTTTCTCATTTGCTTGGTTTTCTATGCTCTTGTCACTACTTTACCCAAAAGTCGCTGCCCTAAATGTAAAGCTCTTCCCAACAAAGTCATGTGCATCAGGTAATATGCTCCACTTTCTCTTCGAGATGTTCCTGAGAACCCCCTGTCTTCTTGCCATAACTTGGACATTTCCTGGATTCTGAATCATATTTTCCTCTTGCTTGGTTTTCTCTTCTTGATGGAGCCTGTCCTTTAGTAGCCTCCTGAGCTTGAATATCTAAAATGTCTTTATTTCTACTGTAATATTATCAAATATATATCTGGTCTTTGTCTCTGCCTTCTGATATACAACTCCTAAAATCCTTGAGATCTCTAAAGTGATGTCTTTTTGTATGCTAGTAAGATGACTGATGGCGGACAGCTCCTATGTAGCTTCAGGATAGGGACTGGACATCTGAAAGACCAGGGCATGATTAGAGGGGTTGAAACTTTCAGCCCACCCCCCAAACTCCCAGAGGTTGGGGGAGAGGGACTGAAAGTGACGTTGATCGCCAGTGGCCAATGATTTAATCAATCATGCCTATGTAATGAGGGCTCCTAAAAACCCAAAAGGACAGGGTTCAGAGAGCTTGTGGATAGCCAAATGTGTGGGGGCTTCCAGGAAGGTGGACAAGAACACGTCCACATGCTGAGAGAATGGCACTTCGCAACTCCTTGCAGACAGAAGCTCCTGCTCTTGGGACTCTTCTAGGCTTCATCCTGTGTATCTTTTCATCTGGCTATTTGTAGCCTTTAAAATAGCCTTGTAATAAACATGTGTTTCCCTGAGTTCTGTGAACTGCTCTTGTAAATTAAAGCCAAGGAAGGGGTCTTGGGAACCCAGAAGGACAGGTAAAACAACCTGGGGCTTGTGATTGACACTGGACATGGGGCTCAGTCTTGCGGCACAGAGTCCTCAACTTGTGTGATCTGCTGCTATCTCCAGGTAGACGGTGCAGGATTGAAGCGGATACCCAGCTGGTGTCTGCTGTACAGCTGAATGCTTGCTTGTCGGTGGGGAGAAATTCTCTACATCTGGTGCCAAAAGGATGTTGTGAGAGTAAAGAAATGGTTTTTTTTTGTTTTTTGGACTTATCTATCCTTACGTTTGATTCATCATTTGAATGAGAATAGAATTTTAGATTGGAAATCGTTCCTTTGTGTTTTTGCTTTTTTTGTTGCTGGAAATTTTTGAGATCATCTCTATTCCTGGTGTTCTCAAATTTCTCAATGACATTACTTCATATGTTGCCTCCCCATTCCCTCCCCAACCCCTGCCCAATTTATTGTGCTGGGCACTTTGTAGTCCTTTTTTCTAGTTTTTTTGTTGCTATTGAACAAATTACCCCAAATATAGTAGCTTAAATTTGAGGAGGATTCAGCTGGGCAGCTTTCTGTTGGGATCTCTCATGCAGCTGCAGTCAGGTATTGGCTGAGGTTATAGTCATCTGAAGGCTTGACTGGGTCAGTGGTCCAAGATGGATCACTTGCATGGCTGGAGGTAATGTTGCACTGTTTTCCCCAAATGTCTGGCTCATGCTGATGATGGTGCTTGTTGGAAACTGTCAATGGGTACAGTCTGCCAGCTAATAGGTTTGTTTTTCTACTAGGTCATAGTTGCCAGTGTTTGCAGGACTCTTGTGGGCCAGCTGCTCCAGAGGGATCCTCCCACTATCTCATGCTATCTGGCTAAGTGGGAGAAGTGAGCCTGGACCCACATGTGTAGACTTTAACTCAATCTGTCTGCTTTCAGTGGTCCTCAGCTATGCCTCATGCCTGAGGTAACACCTACTCTGATTCAACTACTGGAGACTTCCTCCACCCAAGTAGGAGAGGGGATCTATGGTCATACTGTTCCTCACAAAAATTTTCCACCAGTTATTCCAATTTCTGCACCTTCCTGGTATTTGCTGGCAGGAATGGTCTCTTGTTGGCTTCACCCACAAACGTAAGTCTCAACTTTCTCTAGCTAACTCAGTTATCACTTCTCCATCCATTCCCAGTCTCTATAATTTTGTTGACTTCTCTTGCTTACTAGTGTCTCCTCTCCCATTCTTTGTGGGGTTTTTTTGGTCTTTTATTACTTTATGTGAGTAGGGTTTGGGCAGGAAATGGAGGTTAATGTTTATGCTCAGTCTGCCATGTTTAACTGAAAATTTCTTTCAAAATTCTGCCATTAGGCTTTTCCCCCCATGTCTCTTTAGATAGCTCTTGTCAGTCACCAATACATTGTTTTGTTGCATCCAATAATAAATTCTGTCTTCATTTTGCAATCCCTTCAAAGCCTCAGCAAAGATCACCATGTCTTCACTTATATTATGACTTCATATTCCTCTGGTTTTCCTCCTCTCTCTGGCCATTCCTCTATACTGGAAAAGGTCGGTGCCCCAGGGCTCATTCTAGAACTTCTCTTTTTTATGTGCATTTCCTAATTCATCTTGTCCAATCTCATGATTTCAAATACTACCTGAAAGCAAATGACTCCCAAATTCCTATCTCTAGCATTATGTTCTCTCCTGAATGCCAGCCTACTCAATATTTCACTTGAATGTCTAATAAGCATCTCTAGTATAACTTGTCCCCACTTTAATCTGAATTTTCCAATCAAACTTTCCCTATTTTAGGCCAGGTGTGGTGGCTCATGCCTATAATCCCAACACTTTGGGAGGCTGAAGTGGGAGGATTCCTTGTGGCCAGGAGTTTGAGACCATCCTGGGCAACATAGCGAGACCCCGTGTCTCTACCAAACTTTAAAAAAATCAGCCAGGTGTGGTGGCACACGCCTGTAGTCCCAGCTATTCAGGAGGCTGAGCCCGGAAGATCACTTAGCCCTGGAATTTGAGGCTGCAGTGAGCTAATGATTGTGCCACTGCATTCCCACCTGGGTGACAGACTGAGATCCTGTCACTAAATAAATAAAAGACACCTCTATTTTAGTAAATGACCACCACCATATACCCAGTTGTTGAGGCCAAAATCCTCAGAGCCTTCTGTATCTGGCTTAATGAATAAGCTGGATGCAGTAGTATGTAAGCAGATAGGAACAGTGTTTTTTCTCATGACTGCCCCTAGAAGCTTAACTGTGTCAATTCTCAGACGTAGTTTACAGCTTTTTCTTTTCTTTCAGACATTAAAAAGAGCGGATTATTTTACTCATAAAAAGTCCAGTCCATTAAGATATCAAAACTCAAACTCTTATCCAGTTGAAACCTCTTCCCTCACCTAGCTTTGCCAGGTTCAGTGTGAGATTCCATCCAGGCTGAAGCCCCTTATCCCTATTCTTCATGTTTCTACATGGAGGAACTTACCTGGAGAAAAACTTCCAGCCTCTTTCTGCTTCCAGAGAAGTAGAGTGACTCATTTGATTGAATTTCAGAGAACAGATAGGGTGGAGTGTGCTCAGGCTCCTCTGGGTACTCTTTCTGGGGTCTGTGGGTTGACTGGAGGGGTGTCTTCTGGTGGGCACTCAATTGCATAGTGCTTGGTGAGGCAGTTTCATGGCCTAGAGGCTGGGGGATATGTTTGTCTGACTTAACGGGTGATTTAGTAGCTTGCCCTCTTGCTTGCAGATTTAAGCCTTGTCCTTCAAGCTAGGTTTTTAATTTGTGGCAAAGCTGATATTTTGATACCCACCCATCTTATTGCTGTGTCTTTTTCATCCGTTTCTGAACTGGGATAGGAAGAGGTGATTATCCTTGATTGTCTAAAACCCCGCTATTCCACTGTGGGGAAGGTGCCTGTGGGTATTCTTTTGTCCACTCTCTCTTCCAACTTTCTCCTCCGGCTTGCTGTGGCTCACCGCCCCTTCGAAGTTAGGCTGGGGGTAGGAATTGAGGAGTGGGTGCCGAAATGCTCACTAGGCTGGGGCAGTTGTAACTGGATGTCAGGGCTTCTGTGGGCCAGGTGAAGACATGCTGGGGTCTTCTGTGGGTCCTTGACCTGACTTACGGACCACTGGCTGCAGCCTCCAGACGTCAGCCATGTTTCCAACAGTCAGACGCCCCCTGCCCTGTTGCGCCCGGCTGTCCCTTCCAAGTTCGGTCACTCGCTCTGCCTCCATCTTCCTCTTCCCTCTGCTGCTAAGGCTTTTCACCTTTAATTTCTCCTGGGGCCACCCCCAACTCCAGCGACCCCGTGAGCAGCTGAGGCTCTACCGCGCTCGGTCCTGGCCAGCGACGCAGCCCTTCCCTGGCGGGGCTCCAGGGCTTCTGGCCCCTGTGGTCCGCCAGGTGTGGGGGCCCACGGCCTCACCGCGCCTACCCCACTCCCCCCGGCGAAGCTACGCGGCGCTCAGCTTCCCAGGGACGCCGGCGGCGCCCTCGGCTCCTCCGCTCCGCCCCGCCCTCCCCCTGGTCTCGCACTGGAGCCGACGGCCCGCGCCCACCTCACCTCAGGGCGGCCTCCCGCCCCCACCCCCGGCCCCGGCGTCCGGGCAAATCCTGCAGCGCGAGAGCAATTCCCTGCCACCCGACCTTCGCACTCGCTGTCGCTCGCTCGAGCCTCGCTCCCCACGTCCTTCCTTCCGACCCGCGGCTGGACCCTCCTCACAAATTTCTCAGAGAGGCTCACCTCAAAGCGCGGCGCACGAGGCCGGGCTCCCGGGACGCAAGCCTCTAGAGGGCGCGCGAGAGGCCCCGCCCCCGCCCTTCGGCCCCACCCACCAGCCCCGCCCCCACCCGCACCCACCAGGCCCCGCCCCCACCTCCCCACCCACCAGCCCCGCCCCCACCTCCCCACCCACCAGCCCCGCCCCTCATGCCCCGCCAATAAGGCCCCACCCGCCTCCCCCGTCCCGTCGCCTTCACCCACCATCCCCGCTCCCTCAGGCCCCGCCCCACGCCGCATGGGGCACCAAGCGCTCCACCACTGTGGTCGCCTGGCACACCCCGGGGTCACGCTCGCGGCGCTCTGATTGGTTGCGTGGGCGTCGGCCCACCTAAGCCTGAGCGCCTGCCGAGGCCTGCGCCTGCGTAGTGCGCGCGGGAGGGGCGGGAGGGGCGGGAGGGGCGGGAGGGGCGGGGCTGGGCGGCAGGTCCCGGGTGCGGACATCTGGCAGCTGGCAGTGGGCGGCGTAGAGCACTGCAGCAGCAATGACGGAGGGCACGTGAGTCCCCTCGCCCCGGGCTCCTGACGAATGCGGGGTGGTCCTAGGTGCTGAGGAGAGCGCGACTGGGGCAGTGGGCCGGCGGCCGGCGTTGGGGCGGGGCCTGGGTCGCTGATGGCCGGTGGTCCTCAGGTGTCTGCGGCGCCGAGGGGGCCCCTACAAGACCGAGCCCGCCACCGACCTCGGCCGCTGGCGACTCAACTGCGAGAGGGGCCGGCAGACGTGGACCTACCTGCAGGACGAGCGCGCCGGCCGCGAGCAGACCGGCCTGGAAGCCTACGCCCTGGGGCTGGACACCGTAAGTTGCTTCCGCGGAGCGTCAGCGAGCTCGGGACCCTGAGGGGTGAGCCGTGAGGAGCACGTTTTCTCTCAGAAAGGCGGGTGGGAGGACCCGGCCAGCGACGCCCATCCCCAAGGCGAGCGCCCACGGGAACTGCGTTCGCGGGCCCCTCCGCTTCAGCCCCTTCATCTCTAAACCACGCATAGGAGACTCCTAATGTTTTATTTTTTAGCACCTTATTTTGAGATAATTTTTGACTTATAGGAGAGTTGCAAAGATAGTTGTAACTTTGTTTTTATTCACAAAAAGTGTTTGGATCCACTGTCTTAGTTGTGTGCATTGTAAGAGATTTTGGTCGTCAGAGTCTGCAGTGTAAACAGGGTCTCCTGCCGAGCCCCGGCCACCGAGGGAAAGGCTGTGCCGCCCCTTGGGCCCTCTTTGAGAGGCCCGAGTCCCAGGCCCAGGTCGGCACCCGTGCCCCACCCTACAGTCTGGGTGCCTGGTTTATTCCAGACATCTTGGAGAAGTTGTGAAGAATACATGACTGGCAAATAAAGCAACGAAAATGTGCAGCTGTTCTTTTACTTTGCTGAGGTGTGATGCTCTCATCAAAGAGTTTCAGACTTTTGATGGAAACAGCTGAAACTTTTAAAGTAATTTACATTCACTGTTTTGACTTGGGCTGTATGTGAAGAGGGTTCCTCTGGCCGGGCAACAGTCCCGTCAGCTATCTCTTTTTTTTTTTTTCGATCTCTTTGCAGAAGAATTACTTTAAGGACTTGCCCAAAGCCCACACCGCCTTTGAGGGGGCTCTGAACGGGATGACATTTTACGTGGGGCTGCAGGCTGAGGATGGGCACTGGACGGGTGATTATGGTGGCCCACTTTTCCTCCTGCCAGGTAGGAGTATGCTGCCCCAGCCTGATGGTATGGCCACCCTGGATCACCCTTGGGATCCTGGCCCAGCCTGGTCTAGGGTTTTGATGAAGCAGGTGAAAATCCAGGGGCTCACAAGAAAAGGGCTGGCAAACTCTGCCCTATGTCAGAGTCGTCCTGCTATTGGTCTAGGGGATCAGCTAGCCTTGCCAGTGTAGGGTGACAGGCTCTCTGATAAGAGAAGCAAGTGGTTCTCTAGGGCTCTGTGTTGCCTTGAGGGAGGAGGAAGGTGGGCTTTGAAGTCTCAGTACAGGATGGGATGGACATTCCAGGTGGAAGGCCCAGCCTATGCCAAGGGGCTGTAGGTGGGCAGAGTGGTGGGTGGGGAGCTGATATCTGCTGTGAACTTCCTCGGGGCTATTGCAGGAGAGCTTCAGGTTCAGGCTGGTGAGTAGGAGGAGCATAGCAGTTGGACTGCCTGGGTATTGAACTGATTTGGCTACACAAGACTATTTTGCATCCTGGGAGTGTTTCTCTACAGAAATCCTCAGCCTTGTAAAATGGGAAATTCCCTCCTATGAATTTATGCAATAGGACTTTTTTCCCTAGTGACTTGTAATCACATTGTTTCAATGACGTGAATTCCTACATAAATAGGTTTTGTTTCTGTGATAACTCTTACTGATACATCATTTTCTTTTACTACGCTGACTTTGTAATAGATAGAAAGTCCTTATATACCTTTGTTGCCTTTCTTTTTAAAACATCTCTTACCTGTGTCTATTCATTTACTCATCCAAATTGCCTTTATCCTGATTTTGTCCCAGACTTGAAATGAAGTTGCAATAGGCTTATATGTTAGTTTGGGAAGAGTTGGCCTTTAACGTTAAAAACAGTTCCATGGTGTTTACTGTAGGCCAAGCCCTGCTCAAGGCCTGTTCTTCTTTTAGTCCTTAGAATAAGCCTAATGAGATACATTAGAAAGCTGAGGCACATTTATTCCAGGTAACCAGACTAGCAGGAGGAGCACTGGGATCCCCATCTCTGCTTTGACTTCTAGCCCTGCTGCCACCTGGACTGTACAGCATTGAGTTTTTCTGTCCTGGGATTTGAGGGCCTGTCCTTAGGGGAAGTCAAGGTGCTCTTCTTCCCTTGGCCCCATCAGGGCCTGTTTAGACTGTTCTCAGGGCTCGTGGTAAGGCAATGACATAGAGTTGGTCAGGAGATGGGTCAGCCCCACTTTGCCTCTGTAGCCTGACCTGTGACAGGATTGGAATCAGGTTTGGTCATGTGCACAGTGTCAGGCATGCAGTGGTGCTTGGTCAGTGGGGATTACTGTGTTGTTTGTTCTTGCTGCTTTGGCTCTGGGCTTAGCTGGCTGGGACCCTTCCTGTGGGCTGGCTGTGAGTTGGAGTTTTTTTGTATTTTTTTTTTTTTTTTGAGACAGCGTTCGCTCTTGTTCCCCAGGCTGGAGTGCAATGGCACAATTTTGGCTCGTTGCAGCCTCTGCCTCCTGGGTCCAAGTGATTCTCCTGCCTCAGCCTCCTGTAGGGTCCAGCCCCACAGGGTCGGTAGGTTTTTCTCCCTGTGTGCGGAGATGAGAGATTGTAGAAATAAAGACACAAGACAGAGAGATGAAAGAAAAGACAGCTGGGCCCGGGGGACCACTACCACCAAGACGTGGAAACCGGTAGTGGCCCTGAATGCCAGGCTGCGCTGATATTTATTGGATACAAGACAAAGGGGCAGGGTAAGGAGTGTGAGCCATCTCCAATGATAGGTAAGGTCACATGGGTCACGTGTCCACTGGACAGTGGGCTCTTCCCTGCCTGGCAGCCGAGGCAGAGAGTGGGAGAGAGAGAGAGAGAGACAGCTTATGCCATTATTTCTGCATATCAGAGACTTTTAGTACTTTCACTAATTTTGCTACTGTTATCTAAAAGGCAGAGCCAGGTGTACAGGGTGGAACATGAAAGTGGACTAGGAGCGTGACCACTGAAGCACAGCATCACAGGGAGATGGTTAGGCCTCCGGATAACTGCGGGTGGGCCTGACTGATGTCAGGCCGTCCACAAGAGGTGGAGGAGTAGAGTCTTCTCTAAACTCCCCCGGGGAAAGGGAGATTCCCTTTCCCGGTATGCTAAGTAGCGGGTGTTTTTCCTTGACACTGACGCTACCGCTAGACCACGGTTGGGTCCGCTTGGCAACGGGCCTCTTCCCAGATGCTGGCGTTACCGCTAGACCAAGGAGCCCTCTAGTGGCCTTGTCCGGGCTTAACAGAAGGCTCTCACTCTTGTCTTCTGGTCACTTCTCACTATGTCTCTTCAGCTCCTATCTCTGTATGGCCTGGTTTTTCCTAGGTTATGATTGTAGAGCGAGGATTATTATAATATTGGAATAAAGAGTAATTGCTACAAACTAATGATTAATGATATTCATATATAATCATATGTATGATCTAGATCTAGTATAACTCTTGTTGTTTTATATATTTTATTATACTGGAACAGCTCGTGCCCTCGGTCTCTTGCCTTGGCACCAAGGTGGCTTGCCACCCACAGCCTCTCGAGTAGCTGGGATTACAGCCATGTGCCACCATGCCTGGCTAATTTTTGTATTTTTGGTAGAGACAGGTTTTCACCTTGTTGGTCAGGCTGGTCTCGAACTCCTGACCTCGTGATCCCCCACCCCCCACCCCCAGCCTCCCAAAGTGCTGGGATTACAGGCGTGAGCCACTGCACCTGGCTGAGTTGGAGCTTTTCTTCCCTCTTTTTGGACTTTGGAAAATGCTCTTGGTCCATGATGCTATGTAGACAGCTCCCATTGACTGTGGCCTGTGCGGCATTGGGCAGCACTCTGGTGAACACTGAATCGGGTCTGACCTCCTAGCCCCACCATTTACTGGCTGAGCCTCAGTTTCCTTGCCTGTAAAATCAGGAAGATGCTGGCTCTGCTCCTCTCTGCACATTTCCCCGTCCTAACAACATTATAACTGTTAGGAAAGAGACGGGCTTGTTTTGGGATGGCTCATTTTATGTGACCCTGTGCGCTGTCTCTGAGTTCATCTGCCCTTCTTCCAGGGTGTAGGGACCAGCCCCACAGGGTCGGTGGGTCTCTCCCTGTGTGCGGCGATGAGAGAGTGTAGAAATAAAGACGCAAGACAAAGAGATAAAAGACAGCTGGGCCCGGGGGACCACTGCCACCAATGCACGGAGACCAGTAGTGGCCCCGAATGTCTGGCTGTGCTGTTATTTATTGGATACAAAGCAAAAGGGGCAGGGTAAAGAGTGTGAGTCATCTCCAGTGATAGGTAAGGTCACGTGGGTCACGTGTCCACTGGACAGGGGGCCCTTCCCTGCCTGGCAGCCGAGGCAGAGAGAGGAGACACAGAGAAAGACAACTTATGCCATTATTTCTGCATATCAGAGACTTTTAGTACTTTCACTAATTGACTACTGCTATCTAGAAGGCAGAGCCAGGTGTACAGGATGGAACATGAAGGCGGACTAGGAGCGTGACCACTGAAGCACAGCATCACAGGGAGACAGGCCTCCGGATAACTGCGGGCAGGTCTGACTAATGTGAGGCCCTCCACAAGAGGTGGAGGAGCAGAGTCTTCTCTAAATTCCCCCGGGGAAAGGGAGCCTCCCTTTCCCGGTCTGCTAAGTAGCGGGTGTTGTTCCTTGACACTTTTCGCTACCGCTAGACCACCGTCCGCTCGGCAACGGGCGTCTTCCCAGACGCTGGCGTTACCACTAGACCAAGGAGCCCTTTTGCTGGCCCCGTCCGGGCATAACAGAAGGCTCGCACTCCTGTCTTCTGGTCACACCTCACTATGTCCCCTCAGCTCCTATCTCTGTATGGCCTGGTTTTTCCTAGGTTATGATTGTAGAGCGAGGATTATTATAATATTGGGATAAAGAGTAATTACTACAAACTAATGATTAATGATATTCATATATCTCTAAGATCTATATCTGGTATAACTATTCTTGTTTTATATTTTATTATACTGGAACAGCTCGTGTCCTCGGTCTCTTGCCTTGGCGCCTGGGTGGCTTGCCGCCCACACAGGGCATGTCTGGATGGTTTGAACACTAGGGCTTCTGATGCTCTAAGCCAGAGTCAGGTATTCATTCCATGGCACATGTGGCTGGGGTCTGCCCTGAGACCTGTCCCGTGCCAGGCTCTGGGGGCACATGGCTGATGGAACCAAGCATGGGGAGTGAAGGTGGAGGGTGGCCTGTGAGCACCATGCCTGAGAGGACCAGGCTGGGGACGGAAGGTTCTTAGTGGATAATATTTATTGTCTCTGCCTCCCCCCTGACATTTGCAAAGCGGCATATGCTTGTAAAAAAATTTTGAAACAGAAAAATATAAATAAATAAGTAGGTATTACCACATGCAAGGGTGACCAATTTTGTATTTTTCTTCCCAGCAGATGTTAAAGCAAGACCAACAGTCTCCCCTCATGGAAGGCCCACTGATCTAAAATGCTGGTTCCTTTTGGACCTTCAGGGCACTTGGGGGAGACCTTCCTGAGGTGCTGTGCAGTGTCTGGTGTTTCTCAGACCCTGGTGGTCATGGGAGCCAGGCGTGGCTGAGTGGGCTCTACAGGCCCTAGGCAGGGAGCATCGCCTGTGCTGTGGCTGACGTTCCTTCTGGCCCTGTTCCCAAAGTTCCCCATGGGGGCCTGGGAGGAATGGCCTTTCCAGGGGGTGTTTTTATGAGAAGGAGGTAGCTCCCTGTTGGAGTGAGGTGCTCAGGAGGAAAGGGGCCTGGTCTTAGCAGTCATGACCACCTGTCCCCAGTGAGGAACATCTCTCCTGCCACACAGGCCTCCTGATCACTTGCCACGTGGCACGCATCCCTCTGCCAGCCGGATACAGAGAAGAGATTGTGCGGTACCTGCGGTCAGTGCAGCTCCCTGACGGTGGCTGGGGCCTGTGAGTGTGCCTGCCCCTGTGTCACTGCACATGTGCATGTGTGTGTTCTCATGATGTAGGAGATGCTTGGGTTTCCAGGCAGCTGCCAGGGGTTAGGAGTGATTGCAGCTGTGGGTGTGGGGTGGGTGAGGGAGAGACTAGCAGGCGGGGAGTGGGCTGAAGGCCATGCAGGTGGGGCCTCGGCTTCACATCTTTTGTTAAATGGATTTTGTGGCTGTTAGGACACTCTTGAGACCCACATGTGAAAACTGTCAGTCTGTTATCACTTAAGGCAGAAGAAAATTGCCCTTGACTCTGGGCTGGCAGCAGGTGGAGACAAGGCCTGACAGCTTTCCTGCCATGTGGCACACACTTTGGGAGCAGAGCCATAGCCCAAAGTGGACCGCCCTTGAGCTAGAAGTGTTGACTCAGGCGTGGGAAGGTGTAGAGCAGGCGGGTCACGGTGAGGAAGGAGTGGGGGGCTCAGTTGTCATGGGAGGTGCATGAATTCGTACTGCAGAGTGGCTGCTCAGGGGTCTCCTGTGTTGGCATGTTATGTCAGGTTAAGGCATTTTAGCATTCTTAGTTTTCTGAGGAAACTCCACAGAAAGTTTTGCTTTATTTCTTAGAAGTAAGGACAGATACCGGTTTCTCACCTGTCCTCTGCTCCTGTAGGCACATTGAGGATAAGTCCACCGTGTTTGGGACTGCGCTCAACTATGTGTCTCTCAGAATTCTGGGTGTTGGGCCTGACGATCCTGACCTGGTACGAGCCCGGAACATTCTTCACAAGAAAGGTACGGCATGTGCAGCATGTGCTGGGCCAGGGGTTCGTGTCAACTCGATAATGAGCTCTCACAAACGCGATACAGAAAGATGCACTTGCAGCTGAAACAGTGGGCAAAAGCACATGAGCAGGGAATTTGTCAAAGCAGAAGTAGGCAGACACTGTTTAACCTAGGCATCATTTTTTAAAAAAGCAAATTAAGAGCCAGGCACAGTGAGTGGCTCACGCCTGCAATTCCAGCACTTTGGGAGACTGAGGTAGAAGGACCACTTCAACCTAAGAGTTCGAGGCCAGCCTGGGCAACATAGTGAGACCTGGTCTCTACAAAAACAATAAAATATTAGCCAGGTGTGATGATATGCACCTGTAGTCTCAGCTACTTGGAGGCTAGTAAGGCAGGAGGAACACTTGAGCCCAGGAGTTCTGGGTTGCAATGAGCTGGTTGTACTACCGCACTCTAGCCTGGGTGACAGAGTGCGACCCTGTCTCTAATAAAATAAAGCCAAGCAAACTAAGACAACCAGGTAATTCTGTTTGTTTCCTGAATTGGCAAAAACTTAAACGAACCGTGTTAATATGTCCACCTTCTGGGGGCAGCCTGGCTGCAGGCAAGAGCAGCCCTGGAGCTTGCACCTTCCAAGCTGATCGTCTACCTCTCCAAGCCCGGGGCTGTCCACCTCTCCAAGCCCGGGGCTGTCCACCTCTCCAAGCCCGGGGCTGTCCACCTCTCCAAGCCCCGGGCTGTCCACCTCTCCAAGCCCCGGGTTGTCTTACCTCTCCAAGCCCCAACTGTCTACTTCTCCAAGCCCTGGTCTGGCTACCTCTCCAAGCCCTGGCTGTCCACCTATCCAAGCCCCGGCCTGGCTACCTCTCCAAGCCCCAGGCTGTCCACCTCTCCAAGCCCCAACTGTCTACCTCTCCAAGCCCTGGCCTGGCTACCTCCCCAAGCCCTGGGCTGTCCACCTCTCCAAGCGCCAACTATCTTTCTCTCCAAGCCCTGGCCTGGCTACCTCTCCAAGCCCCAGGCTGTCCACCTCTCCAAGCCCCAACTGTCTACCTCTCCAAGCCCCGGCCTGGCTACCTCTCCAAGCCCCTGGCTACCTCTCCATGCCCGGCCTGGCTACCTCTCCTCTTGCCTATAGGCCCTGAGGGGCAATTCCAGCCCAAGGGAATCCATGGCTCCTGCTGCTCCAAGAAAACCTAGTTTATGTTGTGGCTCTGCAGAGCCTGGCCTGGTCTTGTCCTCTGTGTTTCACAGACCTTCCGTAGCCAGTCCCACCTGCCCTGCTCTCTGCTGCATGCGCAGGGGCCTCCTGTCAGCTCCTCAGAGACCCTTATTATCCCAGGGCTCGCCATGCACTGCCTCCTTCGCCTGGAGCCTCTTACCTTCCACTCCTGCCCCGCTGGCTCACACTTTACGTGTTCCTTCTTTGAGGACCTCTTCCTGACCTACCGTGCCAGGTGGAGTGTCCTGTTACGCATTCTCATGAGATCCTGCCTTCTTTCTTGGTGAGCTTGTCACTATTGTCCTCAGTTCACTGTCAGCCTTTGGTGTCGTTGATGCTGCGTCCCCAAGGCTGCTGTCCGGTTCCCACCACACTCCTGGCGCCTGCCTGGTGAAGGAACGTGTTTAGGCTGCACTTTGCCTAGTAGCTTTGTGGGTCTTTATTGACTTTTGCATACCTTTTGGGGTTTGGAGCAGGGACTCCTCAGAAGCATGTTTAGATGGTGTGGCTGTGCCAGGACTGCTGCTGCTGAAGTGGCTCTGGCATGGGGCCAGCGTGCCGGAGCTACTCTGGAGTCTAGGGTCGTCTTTGTTCCCATACAGGACCAGTCTGCCAAGTGGAGATGACACAGACTGGGGCAGCTCAGGCTTGGCTCAGAGGGCGAGGCTGAGTGTGCGCTGTCACTTCCCCACCTTGCCTTCTCCAGGCGCATGTGCACCTGGGCCCCTCGCTCACCTGAGCACTGAGGTGTCCCTGGACCTTCCCAGGTAGCTGTCTTCATGTGCTCCTTCCTGGGGCCAGGGGTTGCAAACACCTCTCCTGGGGCTGGACACACACACTCCCAGGAAAGCCACTGGTTCCACCTAGGGGGCCGTGTATCCAGGCAAGTTCTCAGCACTCTGGAACCTGCTTCGCACATGGGGGTCGCAAGATCCACATGAGGCTGCCCTTGCCTCATGGAGAGGGGCACACGTGACTCCCAGAGGGTGAAGCTTCCCAGCTAGAGGCAGTGCAGACTTTGCTGACAGGAAGCAGATGACGTGGGCCTATTCTCTCCCCGCTCAGGTGGTGCTGTGGCCATCCCCTCCTGGGGGAAGTTCTGGCTGGCTGTCCTGAATGTTTACAGCTGGGAAGGCCTCAATACCCTGTTCCCAGAGATGTGGTATGTCTGCTGTTGATTGGGTTGTTGGGTCGCTGCTGCTGTCCCGGGGAGTAGAGTGACAGGGACCGTGGGTCAGGTGCAGGCTGTGACAGCAGAGAGGGGTGGGCATTCTGTGGGTGGGTGGAGTTAGGCTCCTGGCAGAGGCCCTGATCAAGCTTGAGTCCTGTAGGGGTACAGAAAGGGGGAGGTTCCCAATTGAGCAGGAAGAAGGCTGTGCCATGGATGGAGGTACCCCGAGTCAGGCTGCAGGCAGGGCTGGGTGGCTTCCCTCTTGCTGTGGAAGACTCAGCATCTGTAGAAGTGGGGGGGTGCCCCTCCCCCAGCCTGCACAGGGGCGTCCTGTGTTGCTGCTGCTGCGTTTGTCTCCTTTGCTGGTGAATGTGAAGTGTGTCCCGACGTGACACCTCACCTGTGGACTCAGCGTGTGTGCCTTTAAAAGATCAGTGTCTGTGGCCAGGTGGGGTGGCTCATGCCTGTAATCCCAGCACTTCGGGAGGCCGAGGCGGGCAGATCACGAGGTCAAGGGATCGAGACCATCCTGGCCAACATAGTGAAATCCCGTCTCTACTAAAAATACAAAAATTAGCTGGGCGTGGCGGCGCGTGCCTCTAGTTTCCAGCTACTCGGGAGGCTGAGGCAGGAGAATCACTTGACCCTGGGAGGCAGAGGTTACCGTGAGCCGAGATCGTGCCACCATATTCCAGCCTGGCGACGGAGTGAGACTCTGTCTCAAAAAAAAAAAAAAAAAGATCAGTGTTTGTTTTTTTAAACAGAACCACATACTGTTTAAATACCCAGCAAAATCAACATTAATTTCTTATTATCTGGTGTGTGTTTTTTTTGTTTTGTTTTGAGACGGAGTCTAGCTTTGTCACTCAGGCTGGAGTGCAGTGGCGTGATTTGGGGTCACTGCAACCTCCGCCTCCTGGATTCAAGCAATTCTCCTGCCTCTGCCTCCCGAGTAGCTGGGATTACAGTCTCAGGCCATCACGCCCAGCTAATTGTTGTATTTTTAGTAGAGACAGGGTTTCACTATGTTGGCCAGGATGGTCTCAAACTCCTGACCTCAGGTGATCCGCCTGCCTTGGCCTCCCAAAGTGCTGGGAGCCATGAGCCACTGCTCCCGGCCTTATGTGGTGTCTTGTAACATTTTATGGCTATCTATTGAAAGCAGTGGACATCTCCCCAGAAAACACTCGTGCATATGAGTTTACCCCGTTATGCATTTTGGGAAGTGAGACCCTGGAACCACACAGAGCCCCTGCTGGCTTCCTTGAGTGTTGTGGGAACCCTGGTGGGGGTGTCCCCTAGAGAGCTATCAGCAGGGCTGGGGGGGTCCCTTGTGTTAGATGACTTTGGTGCGGGGGTGGGGGGTGGGGGGTCAAGTTAGGGGAGGCAGGAAGTGAAGGGGCCGCTCAAGAAAGGACAGCAGCAGTGTCCTGATGCAAAGGCCGGGGGCTTAACCCCGGAAGCCAGTTTGGGTGGTGACGGGGAGGCACAGGGATGGTGAGATCACCCCGGGAGGGTAGACAGAGATACCAGAGTAGGGGGCAGGGTTAGGGTGCCGCTACCTGAGGCGGGCCGTAGAGCACATAGGTTGGGAGGTGTCCTGGGGCCATTCAAATGCCCGCTGGACTCTGCGCCTCGCCCGTGTGTAATGAGCGGCAGAGGAAGGACTGAGACGGCAGTCAGCACAGCTGCCAGGGCAGGAGGGGTGTGGGTTCCACACGCTGGTGCTGGTGAGGGCGTCTCATCTGCCCCACTTGGGGGGGCCGTCGGTCAGTGCTGCCGCATGGGCACGCCAGGGTGCTGCTTGTCTTTGCTGGAGTTGCTTGGAGGGTGGGTTGGGAGGTGAAAGGAGGACCACAGACCTGAACCACTCCAGCTGCGAAATGCTGGAAGTGTAACCCAAAATGTGAGAAAAAAAAACACCCTTTTAAGTAAGTGGGTGTGAAAGTGGGCCAAGGCCTGATGCCACAGTCAGGGAGCAGGGAAGGCTCAGCATTGCTCACCCTCACTTAAGGATGGGGCTAGCATCACATAAGGCATCACATAAGGATGGGGGCTAGCAGGGAAAGGGAGAGAAAACACATGAGGCACACACAGACCCTGGGAAGCTGGTGGAGCTGTGCTAACGTCAGCAGACCAGTGATCAAAGACCCAGGCCTTGGGGAGATTCCACAGACCTACAGTTTCTTTTTTCTTTCTTTTTCTTTTCTTTTTTTTTTTTTTGAGACAGAGTCTCTCGCTCTGTCACCAGGCTGTGTGCAGTGGCACAATCTCGGCTCACTGCAACCTCCTCCCAGGTTCAAGCGATTCTCCTGCCTCAGCCTCCCGAGTAGCTGGGACTAGAGGCACACACCACCATGCCTGGCTTATTTTTGTATTTTTAGTAGAGATGGGGTTTCGCCATGTTGGTCAGGCTGGTCTCAAACTCCTGACCTCAAGTGATCCACCAGCCTCGGCCTCCCAAAGTGCTAGGGTTACAGGCGTGAGCCACCGTGCCCCTCCTAAAGTTTCTTAAATACACTTTTAAAAGTAAACTTTAAATTTTGGAGTAGTTTCCAATTTCTGGAAAAGTTGCAAAGATAGCCAAGAGTGTTCCCTGGGGCCCTCACACCATATCCCCATTGTTGATGTTTTATGTTACCAAGGTACGTTTGTTGTAGCTAAGAAACCCACGGACAATCCTAAGCATTTAGGAGCTCCATCACCTGGTTTTAGGATGCAAAATGCTGACCGAACTAGGAGGTGCAGCTCCTCAGAGGGTGCACCTATGGTTCAACTGTGCCCCTCAGGAGCACGGTTGGGAAATGCCCGCAGATGCACTGACGTGGTGGGGAATAGCCATCCACCAGTGTTCGTGCTTGAAAGGGCCCAAGGTATGGATGCTGGCGGAGGGGGCAGGCTTGAGTCTTGGGGTCTCCCACTGACTCCTGCTGTTGCCCCAGGCTGTTTCCTGACTGGGCACCGGCACACCCCTCCACACTCTGGTGCCACTGCCGGCAGGTGTACCTGCCCATGAGCTACTGCTACGCCGTTCGGCTGAGTGCCGCGGAAGACCCGCTGGTCCAGAGCCTCCGCCAGGTAGGACCTCATCAGGGAACAAAGTGAAGGCCTCTGGGGCTGGGACCCACAGGGCCTGGGGCTTCTGGAATCTAACCACACCTGTCCACTCACCTGGTGGCCCTGTGGAGCGGAGAGCCCTGTGGAGCAGAGCCTCCACCTTCCTCCATCCTATAATAAACAGTGAGCAAGCTCTGCCCAGAGGGGACTTGTGCTATGGGACAGTCAGTAGCTGTAGCCCAGGGTTCCTGGGGGGGACTTCCAGGACTCAAGGGATGCAGGAGGCAGATGTGCACTGTGTCCTCTGGAAGCAGGCCTGAGGCGAGGTTTGAGGTGCAGGATGTTTATCAGGCCTGCCATGGGGAAGAAGGAGGGGCAGAGGGAGGAAATGAGCTTCTGGGCAGACCTGGGACTCATGGAGCTGGGGAGCTCCTCAGAGCGGTCCTCCCATAGGGGGCCTTCATGTGGCCTCGGGGTCAGTTGCTGGAGGGACCCCCACCCAGGAAGGGACTGGCCCAGGGCCCTGAGGGCGGATGGTGGGAGGCCACCCCTCCTGGTTTGAGCCAGGCCTACCAGGTGCTCCCAGGCCCCAAGGCTCAGACACTGCCCCCACCAGGAGCTCTATGTGGAGGACTTCGCCAGCATTGACTGGCTGGCGCAGAGGAACAACGTGGCCCCCGACGAGCTGTACACGCCGCACAGCTGGCTGCTCCGCGTGGTATATGGTGAGCGCCTCCTGAGGGGCCGGCAGGGCAGCCCAGGGTCAGGGTCAGGGTGTCGCCCACTCATTCACGCACTCATCCCCTGCCAGCGGCACTGGGCCACCTCCTCTGTGCCAGGCCCCAGGGGGCGGGATCTCATCGCCCTGCCCCTCCACCCTGAGAACCAGCTGGTCTTCTACTCTCAGGAGTCCACCCTGTGCAAGGGTGTGTGGTAGGAGGTGTGGGGCAGCCCCTCCTGGGCAGGGAAGGAGGAGCTCAGAGACCAGGCCTGGGGGTGGGTGGGAGGGGGAAACCCTGGGAAGGGCAAGTCCAGGCGTTGCAGTGCATGGAGCTCCAGGCTGAGGCCAGTGTCATGGTGTCTGGCATCCACTGACCCCTGTCCCCTGTAGCGCTCCTCAACCTGTATGAGCACCACCACAGTGCCCACCTGCGGCAGCGGGCCGTGCAGAAGCTGTATGAACACATTGTGGCCGACGACCGATTCACCAAGAGCATCAGCATCGGCCCGGTCAGTGCCCCTGCCCGGCCTCTGACTGCAGCCCCTGGGGGTTGAGGTCCGAAAGTGAAGTCCTAGAGGCCGGGCTGTGAGCTGGGAGTGGGGTTTCCTGGAGCCTGGTGTACCTCCATTTGGGAGGTGGCCCTCTGATCGCACAAGTGTCTGAGGGCTTCTGTCCTGGACCCCTGCACGCCCAGCTCAGTGAAGTTGCCCCACCACACTCGACCCCCCGCTTCCGTCCCCCACCGGCTCTTGTCCTCAGTGTGCCTGGACACTCTCCTAGAGGCCCCTCCCTGAGATCTTGCTGGCTAGCTGGCTAGCTGGGAGGGGTGCTTTTTCCTCACTTGGTTCCCTCTCCCCAAACAGTTCATCATTCGCCATTCTCCCGTGGGGTTTAGACATGCCCAGGGTGGGTGGGAGTAGCAGGTGCCACTCCTGATTCCTCCTGCCTAGCTAGGGACTTGGAGCTCTCACCTCTGTGGGGCCTGCAGGGGTCCAGGTGTGGCCAGTTCAGTGACCTTAGAGGGTGCAATTCCCGGGCTGTGCTGGTGCGTGGCCGCCTCCTGACAGAGTCAGCAGGCCCTGGGCTGTGCTGCAGCTGCTGCCATAGCTGTGCGCGTAGCTGCTGCGGTGTAGTGGGTTGGCTTAGGCATTCTCTGGACATACCCAGGTGGCACTGGGCCACTGAGTCCCACCCTGACACTGCATCTCGGATTTTCTGGGCCTCATGCCACCTCAGTGGATCACAAATCCTGACTGACCCTGCAGCGGGTCCCTTGTTTTTTGCTCAGCAGTGATGTGGTTCTTTGTGGGTTTTGGTTTAATCCCATATAGAGCACATCTGTACTAAACGCATTAGAAACATGCTTGCAATTGGATCTTGACTTGTGAGATGCATAAGTAAAAAGTTGGGGGCCTCTGGAACATTCTGTTCTGAGGAAGAAGGGGGGCAAGTGGTCCCTACTGCTACAGTCCTGTCTTCGCATCTCTTCCTGGGCCCCTCAGGCCCTGTCCTCTGTCCCCTGTGTTGTCTCTAAGGCACCTGGTAGCCCATGCCCCTCTGGTTTCTCCTGGAACCCCTCGCTTCTCCCTGGTGGAGTGCTGCTCCTTCTCACAGCCTAAGGCAGGCTGTGGCCTTGGCCGACACTGCCTCTGTCTGAGTTGGGTCCTGGGGACACAGTTGTTGCCCATCCTCGCTCAGGAAATGCCTGTTAGAGCAGAAGGCCCCTGTCCTGGCCCTGAGTGATCTGCACGGCACTTTATGCCTGGGGGCTGCTGTGGATCTGGACGAGACCTTGTCCCTGGAGGCTGCTGTGGGTCTGGAGCGGAGCCTTGACAGGGCTGTCTCTCCTGCAGATCTCGAAAACCATCAACATGCTTGTGCGCTGGTATGTGGACGGGCCCGCCTCCACTGCCTTCCAGGAGCATGTCTCCAGAATCCCGGACTATCTCTGGTGAGTGTGGCTGGGATATGCTGGCGGGGCCTCTCACGAAGACTGGATCTGAGCCCCAGCTGCATCCCAGTGAGGGGGCCCCCACGGTGCCATCTGGGAATACTGCCAGGGAATACCTCCAGGAACCAGCAGTGTCAGGGCTTGTGGAAGCCACTGAGGGTTGTCTTTGAATTGGAAGATTTGCCACCCAGTGGAAGTGTGGGGTGTTCCCAGAAGGTAGAGTGAGGAAGGGGGTGGTAGGTAGCAGGGCAGGTTCAGGTTGGCATCAGGAGGCCTGTGGACAAGGGGAGCTTGTCAGCCATGGACTGTGCCCTGGAGGTGGGGCCCCTGTCATGGAGGGCAGAGAGCCGTCCCATGGTGGGAAGCTTCCGCTGTACAGGCCTCTTCCTCTGGTGCCTCAGCACTGCACGAGGGCGGCAGGGCTGGCACAGCCTGGGGTCGGGGAGCCTCCCGCTGCCCCTTGCCTTGGGTGTGGCCCTTCTGGGTGAGTGTGTCCTGTTTTCCATAGAGTGTGGCCCTCACCCCCAGGAGCCCAGCAGCCCAGCTGGGGTGGCATCCAGGCCAGTGCCAGGCCTCGGGAGGGGACAGACGGCCTCTCTGGGACCCTCCTGAGTGCAGGGTCTGGGTAGCAGCTGGGCTTCCAGCTTTCTCCTTGCACCTGACTTGGGCTTTTTTCTCCTCACAGGATGGGCCTTGACGGCATGAAAATGCAGGTAAGGGCTGCGGGACTGCGGCTGCATGCTTCCTTTGCAATCATGTCTCCCCTTTATTATTTTTCCTTTGGGGTTCAGAAATAACTCCTCCTGGACCAGGTCCCGGCAGCGTGCGACTAGAGGCTGAGTCAGTTGAGGCCTCTGGCCGTGTCCCTGTGGGTGCTGTTGGTCTCTGTGTGGGTGCCCACCGTTCTCGATGTCTGTCTGCAGCTGTCCTGTTTGCTTTTTGCCCTGATGATCTGAGTGGGCTCAGCTGTGTAACGACAGACCCAGAGCTGCAGAAGCTCTCATCTTGTTACTGTGGCAGGAGGTGGCTCTGGTTAGTGGGGGCTTCTCCTCCATGCACTCTTAATTTAAGGGGCTTCTTCTTAAAGGTCCTGGGTGGACAGGACAGGAGCCTGGAGGACCGTGGTGGCGTGTGGCCGGGCCTGGGAGCTCCCCGTGGACTTGGCCTGAGTGGGCTGGAACCCAGTCATGAGGGGCACCAAGCACAAGGAGAGGGGAGGCCGGTGGATCCTGGCTGACCCTGGTCCTGTCCTGGCTCTGGGGGCCCTGTAGACCGCAGTCCTGTCCGACTGGGCTGAGCCTGCGCCCCTCTGTGCGTGTCAGAAGCCCAGACAGTGTTGCCCTGTGTCTTGTGGTCTAAGGAGGGTTACGCCCTGCGGTGCCTGTCTTCTGTCCCCCACCTGATTCAGTGTGGAAATGTGGAGTCTCCAGAGGTGTCCTGGGTGTCACATTTGGGATGGATACACGTGGGCCCAGCACTGCCCGCCCCAGGGCTACCCTTGGTGCCAGGTGCCCCCAGCCACGAGCTTTTACCCAGCTGGCCTTGAGCTCCCCAGAGGCTCCCCGGACACTGTCCGTGTTTTGTGAAAAGGTTTTCAAAACACATGTAAAGTGGAGGTGAGTAGCAAGCCCTAGAGCAGGCCCTGGCCTCCCTGCCCCTCCCTGTCCCCTCCCTGCCCCTCCCTGCCCAGCGCTCCCTCAGCACCGACTCATCAGTGCACCTCAAGCTGATGAGGGCGTCTGTGTTTTGACAAAATTGCTCTGAGGTTGTCACACCCAACAAACTTATGACGGTTCCTGAGTGTAGTCCTCACGTTGTGGCTGGTGTTTGTGAATCAGGATTCAGGCCAGGCCTGCACAGGCCTTCAGTTGTTGGTCTTTGAGCTCCTGTTAGTCCAGCCGTCTCTCGTGGTCTCTTTTCTCCTCCTGGAAGGTTTGTTCCTGAAGGGCTTCACATTGCAGATCTGACTGGTTGCTTCTTATGTTCCCTGAGTTTTTGTAAACTGGCCAGGCCCTGAGGCTCGATCCCATTGTGTTTCTTTGGCGAGAATGCTTTTCTGGTGGTCCCTGCCTTGTCCCTCCAGTGCACGATGTCTGGATGCCTCTGCCACACACCACCCCCTGCCCAGTCCCCATGTCTGTCTGGTCAGTGCCCAGCTCTGTCTCACTAGGGTTTGGTCACCGGCCCTTTGAACTGAGACCAGGCTGTGTACCTGTGAGCCCAGCTCGGGGTGAGATTTGAGGTGGAGCCTTCCCAGCCCTGTGCAGAATTCCCATCACCTCCAGGTGTACTCAGAAATGGGGATCATTGGCCAGGTGCGGTGGCTCACGCCTGTAATCCCTACACTTTGGGAGGCCAAGGTGGGCGGATCACAAGGTCAGGAGATAGAGACCATCCTGGCTAACATGGTGAAACCCCGATGCTACTAAAAAATACAAAAAAAATTAGCTGGGTGTGCTGGCAGGAGCCTGTAATCCCAGCTACTCCGGAGGCTGAGGCAGGAGAATGGCGTGAACCCAGGAGGCGGAGCTTGCAGCGAGCTGAGATCACGCCACTGCACTCCAGCCTGGGCAACAGAGCGAGACTTCATCTCAAAAAAAAAAGAAATGGGGTCATTTCCAGGCATCACCATGACTGAGGTGCGCCACTGTCATTGGGTGAGAGCAGCTGGATGCTCTATGTGTAGGTGCTGGAGCCTCTAAGGGATCGTCCAGTCCTAGAAGTGTCCTCAGAGGGACACTGTCCTGCCTGGTGGCCCATGAAGAAAGGGAGGGCTCCCTGAGTCTCCCCGACGTGTGTCTGCCTGCAGGGCTCAGCCTTCTCTGAGGCCCTTGTCAGCCATGAGGGGTGCCCAGGGCTCAGAGCCTGAGGCTGAGCGTTGGCTGGGTGGGAGCCCCCACACCTGGCCCTCAGGCGCCCATTGGATCCTGGAGGCAGTGGCTGGGAGTGGGAGGGGCTGCATCTGCTGCTGTAACACCATCCTTTGTGTGTAGGGCACCAACGGCTCACAGATCTGGGACACCGCATTCGCCATCCAGGCTCTGCTTGAGGTTCGTGGCTCCTTCTCTTTTCTCAGCCTCAGCTGACCTTCCTGTGCACGTGAGCCCACGCATCCACCTGAGGGCAGCACTGCTGGCCACACACTTGCCACTCCTCGATACTTCCAGTGACCTGGGCTCTGGCCTCTGGCTTCAGAGGGTCGTGCTGTGGAGGGGGCGGCCTTGGCCAGCAGCCTTGGGTGTTGGGCTGGGTCGGGGGCCTTGGGAGGGCAGGGGCTGGAGGCTGTGTGAGAAGGGGAGTCTGGTGAAGGCTGTTTCTGAGAGTGCAGGCAGGAGTGGGACTCCAGGCTCTTCTTAGAACTGGAACTGCTTGGGCCAGGCACGGTGGCTCACACCTGTAATCCCAGCACTTTGGGAGGCCGAGGAGGGTGGATCACGAGGTCAGGAGTTCAAGACCAGCCTGGCCAAGATGGTGAAACCCCGTCTCTACTAAAAGTACACAAAAATTAGCCAAGCGTGGTGGCGGGCACCTGTAATCCCAGCTACTTGGGAGGCTGAGGCAGAGAATTGCTTGAACCCGGGAAGTGGAGGGTGCAGCGAGCCGAGATTGTGCCACTGCACTCCAGCCTGGGTGACAGAGAGAGGCTCCGTCTCAAAAAAAAAAAAAAAAAAAAAGAACTGGAACTGTTTGTTATGGGCATTCTCGAGCCAGTACTGGAGAAAAACGAGAGTGGATTTTTATGCCGGTGGGAATGAGGTAGGTGGGATTCTGAAGGTGTTTCTGGAGAGCCCTGAGGGCTGGGCCACGCAAAGGGCCTGCCTACACAGGGTGCTGGAGACCCTCTGGGCATGGATGCTGGCCAGGCAGGGGGGTGCTGGCATCCATAAATGGTCTCCTGCGCCCTTCCATCTTCAGTCATATCTCATGGACTTTTGCTGTTTTGTCTTTAAAGGTAAGTGCAGCAGGAGACCCTGGCACTCTCTGGAGATGTCTGCTGGTTTGATTCTGGTCCCCGGTTGGGGCAGGATGTGGCCAGGACCATCGGGAAACCAGCGCAGCCATGCTGGCCGTGCAAGGGCAGCTGAGCCTCTCTGTCCTGCTGTCTCTTCCAGGCGGGCGGGCACCACAGGCCCGAGTTTTCGTCCTGCCTGCAGAAGGCTCATGAGTTCCTGAGGCTCTCACAGGTGAGGCCGGTGCCTGGGGCTCTGAGGGGGCTGAAGAGGGGGATCAGGGCTGGGAGCTCCTGCAGGCAGAAGTGCCCACCTCACCTCCACCCTGCCCTATTTCCTGCACTGGTGTTTCAGGTCACCCCCACCCTCCCATCCCCTCCCTAGCCCCTGCTCCATCCACCGGTCCTCCTCGGGCTGGCCTCACCTGGGGCAGCTCTCTGAGGCCTGCAGGGTGCTGGGGGTGCTGGCAGTTTCTGCGTCCTGCTCATGTTGGAGCCACTGTGTGCAAGGGCCAGGCACGGGCAGGGGCTGTGTACCCTGAGCTGCACAGCCTACACGGCACCTCCATGTCTCTGAAGCACCTTCTGCCCATGGAGGTGACGCCAGCCTGTGGACTTGCCCTCCTGAGACTGTTTGCAGCAAAAGCCCCGGTCCCTCCTGCCAGATCAGCTGCCCACAGACCCTGCCCGAGCCCATAGTTTGACCTCAGTGTCTCTCACACGTGCCTGCACCCCAGTCTGCAGCCACAGTCATCCCATACATGCGCCCCAACCTCCCGTGTCTCCCACACCCTGTCCCGGCCACGGCCTCAGCCAGTGTCCCTCTGCCTGGAACCGCTGCCCCCCAGCCCCGTCTCCCTCCCTTCAGCTCTCACTAGGACATTGTTCTGCAGGGCTTCTGGGTCTTCCTGGCCTCTGTGTGGCCAAGGCTGGCACCCATCTTGGGCTCAAGCAGAGGAGGGGCATTGTCCTGCTGTGCCTGGCCCAATGGTGGCCTGCTCCTGCTCCTGCCTCCTGCCCAGGACTTGCTCTGGGTGATGGGGACTTGGGGAGGCTGACTGAACCCTACGGCACTCCAGGCCTCTTCCCTTCTCACTGAGGTGAGAGAGGCAGCCAGAAGCTGAGGTTGTTCAGGAGGCATTGGGGGCGCCTGGCACAGAGCACACCCGCAGAGACCTGGGCCCCCTCCCTGCCTTCTGGCCGGTGGGGAGATCACAGGGGAGTCAGGTGCTGACTCCCAGTCCCGTCTGGGCTGGTTTGAGCCCTCGCTGGCCAGTCACGTTTCCCAGCAGCTGTGGGTGGTGAGCTAAACAGGTGCAGGCCCTCGCGCGCCTCGCAGCACCAGTGGTGGCTGTGGCCGGCAGAGTAAGCTCCCAGGCACGTTCTGCCTCTCCAGTCCTGCCCAGTCTGTCTCAGCGATGTCCCAGATGGGGACGTCCCGTGGTGACGTGTTCTCTGCTTCCACATTTGCCCTCGATGCTGCCCAGGTCCCAGATAACCCTCCCGACTACCAGAAGTACTACCGCCAGATGCGCAAGGTATGCGGGAGCCAGCCCCATCCCTGTCCCGTCCCCCAGGGGAGGCCGCCCTCAGCAGGGTGGGTCCTTCCCTCTGAAGGGGGGGCTCCTCCCTGGGGGACTCCTCCCTTGGCGTTTTTGGGTGTCCTGCTGTGGTGGATGCCTGGCCTAGGGGCTCATGCTTCATGTTGCTGAGCTGCCTGGCACATGGAGGCACAGTTGGCTTGCACACACAGCCGTGCCTCAGAGCAGTTCCAGTGGTCACGGCACACACAGGCTTCAGAAGGACAGCCGAAGTGTAGCCAGTGTGTCCGGGGAAGGCAGAGGAAAGAAGTAGACCTCAGAGCCGGTGTGGGCTGTGACCACAGGTGCAGACTGTGAAATTAGGCATGGACCCAGCTGCTGCTGCCTGTTTACAATGGGGGTGGGGGGCACCTGGGCCCCATCCTGTCCGTCGTGAGATCTGCAGGTGTTGAGGGTGTGAGCTGCACCCCTGAGGGTCCCTGTGCTGGAAGCTGGAGGTCTGTCTGGATGTACCCAGCTTGGGGCCCTGGCTGCACCCACACCTTTGGTGGCTGGGCCCCTGCCCTGACCGGGTGCTCTGTGGTGGGGAGGGATGCGTGCGGCTGTGGGGAGGTTCTGAGAACTGGGGTGTGGACACCCCCAGCCTGGAGTCATGGCTTGTGCTCTGCAGGGTGGCTTCTCCTTCAGTACGCTGGACTGCGGCTGGATCGTTTCTGACTGCACGGCTGAGGCCTTGAAGGCTGTGCTGCTCCTGCAGGAGAAGTGTCCCCATGTCACCGAGCACATCCCCAGAGAACGGCTCTGCGATGCTGTGGCTGTGGTAAGGCTGTGGTCCCAGCAGCCCCGTCCATACCTCGTGTCCTGCAGATGAGCTGCGTGCTCACTTCCACTCCTGTGGGCTCCAGCCCAGCACACAGTCCGGCCAGGCCGTAGGAGCTTGTCCTTGGATGGTGTCTATATGTGGAGAACTGTGAGCTCTGGCTGGACCCCTAGGGGCCTTGCTGGGCTGTGTGCACAGGGCCCTGCACTGCGGAGCTGGTGTCCAGCCCAGCCACCGATACTTGGGGGAGCCGGCGTGGCCCCCAAGGTTTCTCTCTGGTGGTTTCCACTGGGTGTCTGAAGAGGGAATTTGTTGGTGTTGGTTTTGGTGCCACATCCTTTCAGCACATCTGGCTTTTGTGTGTGTTTCCCAGTGGAGACCCTGCCCTTTTCTGGCAGCACAGACTTGGTTTCTAAGTCATGGGCACGTGTGGGGGCATGTTCCCTGGTGGCTGTGCATGGAGGCCCTGACAGATGAGGTTGCAGCTGCTGCTTGGGGCACCCGAGGGCTTGGTTAACGTGGAAATCAGCTCTCCGCCCCCTGTTCCTGCCCCATCGGTTGTCAGCCCTAGTGTTGCCTCTAGAGAGTTCCGCTGTGCCCTGGGCGCCTGTGTGTGCTCAGCACATGGGCGAGTTCTAGGGTGCTCTCTGTGATTTCAGCTGCTGAACATGAGAAATCCAGATGGAGGGTTCGCCACCTATGAGACCAAGCGTGGGGGGCACTTGCTGGAGCTGCTGAACCCCTCGGAGGTCTTCGGTGAGTGGTCGGCCAGCACTGCGGCGCGCAAACCCGGGGCTGGCTAGCACTGTGGTACACAAACCTGGGGGCCAGCTTTTCCCCCTTGCCCGAGGCTGCAAGGGCCCAGGTTCACCGGCAGATCTGTCTGGAGCCCTCCCTCAGCCCAGGCTGTTCTGCGCTCCTCCATCCCCCGGGGTGGCAGGATCCTTGTGTTGTGGATAGGAGGGCATCAGGTCAGACCTAGGGGACAGTGGAGGGTTCCAGTGAGATCCACAGCCTGGGCTGGTTCCTGCTCAGTCCACAGGGCTTGTGTTCTGTGGAGGCTGCTGTGTATCCAGAGCGCCTGCAGGGAGGTGTCTTTGGGGACTGTGGGGACTGTGGGGACCCATGCCATGGGCAGTAGGCTGCTGTGTGTGCATGGTTGCCACCGTACTGGTCTTGGGGGAGGATCTCAGCCCTGGTCCACCTCTGGGCACCTCACATACCCGCCTTCCTGGTCCCCTCCACATCACACATGGCTTTTTGGGGTGGGGTCGCAGCTTTCTGCTGTGTTCCCCTCATCTTCGCTCTCAGGTAGCACAGGTGTGTGTCCTGGACCAGCCGGCGTTTGCTCTGGAGGTTGGTCAGGGAGGCAGCGTCCGGGCCCGGGCTCACTGCAACACTCTTGCTTGTTGTGGCTTTGCCTGAGCTGCAGAGCCTGGGCAGCCAGGGTGAAACCCAACACTTGGTTCTTCCCTCCCTTTCCCAGGGGACATCATGATTGACTACACCTATGTGGAGTGCACCTCAGCCGTGATGCAGGCGCTTAAGTATTTCCACAAGCGTTTCCCGGAGCACAGGGCAGCGGAGATCCGGTAAGGAGGGTCTCAGCCATTCAGTGTGGGCGCTGCCAAGTCGGGGGCCAAGACCCAGACGCATCATTCTGTGACACGGCCCTGGTGGCCCATCTCAGAAGCGAAACTCATGGAAACATGCAAGAGGCTTCGGATGTTGTGGAATCCAGTCATATGCCCTAAAGCATACAAAATATCTGTTAGGGGCTCAGAATAGCACAGTTATGATACAAAAATGGATTTTCTCTCTCTTTTAATAATGTTAAGAAGACATCACATACCTGACTCCACCGGTGTCCCAGAAACGGTTTTTAAGTAACCTTTCCTGTTGAAGGGTAGCAAGTATTCAGAAAAGTGTACAGGTTGGTCTTCTTGAAGCAAACAGGAAGCGAACAGTGCCAGCATTAGACATGGTGACACCACCAGAGCCCTCGGCCCGCCCCATGACGGGGCCGCCCACATGCCTGCCAGGTCGTGGGTGTCTGTTGCTCGCTTTGGATCTTGTCTAGGTGGACTCCTGAGGTGTGGAATTCGTGTTGCCTTCTCCTGCTCTCCTGCTCTCCTGCTCGCGGTTAGTCAGGTGGCTCGGGTAACAGCAGCGTTCTCTCCCTCGGGCCTTCGGTTGAACACAGATGCCGCGCTATCCAGCTGCCTGTTCTCAGCACCTGGGAGGATTTCAGTCTGGGTTATTATGAAGCATCTACTGTGAACACTCTTGTACTTATCTTTTGGGGGCACCTGGGTACCCATTTCTCATGGTCACGTACCTAGGAGTGGCATTGCTGTGTTAGAGGGTACGTTATAGGGTATGTGATTTTTGTAGGTTCTTCTTTATCCTATCACGATTACATTTTTTTACTTTTGTTCAACCTGGTGTAGACTCACCTTGGTCACAATGCACTGTCCTTTTTATATATTGCTAGATTCAATTTGAAGAATATTTTGTTAGGATTTTAGCAACTCTGGTTACAAGAGACGCTGGTCTATAATTTTTTTTTCTTTATAATGTTTTTGTCAGGTTTTCCTGTTAAGATGATGCTGGACTTAGAAAAGCAGTTGGAAAATGCTTTTAAAATACTCTTTGGAAGAATTTATGTAATATTCATAATATTTCTGCCTTAAATGTTTGGGAAAAATTACCGGAAATGCCAGTTGGGCCTGGAGATTTCTTTGAGGAAAGTTTTTAAATTAGAAGTTCAATTTCTTTCTTTCTTTCTTTCTTTCTTTTTTTTTTGAGATGGGTTCTAGCTCTCTCACTCAGGCTGGAGTGCGGTGTAATTTCTTTAATAGTTTATAGGACTGAGCAGATTTTCCATTTTTGTATCAGTCTGGGGAGTCTTCCCATTTCCACTCAGCTTTACACTGATTCATGCAAAGTTGTTCAGTGTCCTCTTAGATGGCTCTGAGCCCAACGCTGACATCCTCCTCTTCCTTCTGAGAATCTTATACTGATCTTTTGAAAAAAAAAAAATCTTAGTCTTTGATTCTGTTTTTAAAGAGACTTTATTTTTGGTTTCATCAATTTCTATTGTTTGTTATTTTCTTTCTTTCTTAATTTTTTTGAGATGGAGTCTTGCTCTGTTGCTGAGGTTGGGGAGCAGTGGCGTGATCTCAGTTCACTGCAACCTCCGTTTCCGGGGTTCAAGCGATTCTCCTGCCTCAGCCTCCCGAGTAGCTGGGACTACAGGTGCTGACCACCATGACTGGCCAATTTTTTGGTATTTTTATTAGAGACAGGGTTTTACCATGTTGTCCAAGCTGGTCTTGAACTCCTGACCTCAGGTGATCCACCTTCCTTGGCCTCCCAGAGTGCTGGGATTACAGGTGTGAGCCACCACACTGGCCTTTGCTATTTTCTTTCTCCTTTATTTTTCTAACTTGAATACTTAGATATTTGATTTTCAGGCTTTTATTGAAATATGAATTTGAGGCTATAAATGAGTTTTGAGATATCATTCAGTTAAATGTGTGTTCTGGTGCTTGCTGTGGTAGCACAGATACTAAAAGTGTTTTCTGTTTCTACTGTTCTTCTCTGGCCCATGAGTTATGTGGGAGTATGCTGCTTCATTTACAATCTGAGAATGTTCTGGTGTGGTTTTTTTGGAAGCCGTGGATGGAGCAGGGGTTTTCTTGTGCTTCACAGGTGCAGCTAGGAGGGCACTGTGTCCAGGGTCTTCTGTCGGCCTGGCGTGGCCCTCGGCCATGTGCTGCTCTGCGGCATGAGGTGGGCGTGAGTTGTCCTCAGCCACATTTAGAGAATTGGCCTTTTAAAAAATAGATCATCTTTTAAAAATCACTGTAATAAAAGTAAAGCAGGTTCTTTGCAAACAAGACTTGCAAAATACAGAGAAGCGCAAAGAAGAAGCTAAGTCGCCCCTCCTCGCCCCTGAAGGAGAATCTGCTGTTGCTGTTTGGTCTCCACATTTCCATGGCGGCTTGCTGCCCCTTTCACGCCTGGCCCACTTTGTGCCTGGTGAGGTTTCTAAAAGCCCCACCATTGAGCGCGCTCCTCCAGCACGAGCAGTAATGGCACAGGTGTTGTGTCATTTTACTCAGTAGCCTCTGGGTTATTTTTCAGTTTTCCTTGTTGTTTTTTAGCTTTTCCCCATTTTAACCTTAACTGGTATTTTCTTGTTAAATATTTATTCATGACCATTATTATTCCCTAGAGCCACATGGCTTGGGGTCCACCTGCCTGGGTCAGCCCCCATCCCTGCCCCTTCTGGCTGTCTGACCTGGCCTGGTGACTTCTCTTCTCTGCTCATCTCTCTCCCTGCCTGAGTGGGCAACAGTACAGCCTCACAGAGTGGTGGGATTGTGTGAGATGCCACAGGGAAGCACATGTCAGTTGTTGTCACTGTGTAGAACAATGAGTCCCGGATGTGGCCCGCAGGGGAGCAATGGTGACTTAATCGCGGGCTTCCTCTGCATTTCTTTGGTGACTTCCAAGCTAGAACATTCTTTTTTTGTTTATTTGTTTGAAGCAGGGTCTCACTCTGTTACCTAGGCTGGAGTGCAGTAGCAAAATCATGGCTCACCACAGTCTCAAACTTCCGGGCTCAAGCAATCCTCCCACCTCAGCCTCCTGAGTAGCTGGGACTACAGGTGCATACCATCACCTGTGGCTAATTTTTTAAATGTTTTGTATTTTTTAAATGTTGCTCAGGCTGGTCTTGAACTGCTGGGCTCAAGCAATCCTCCCACCTCGGCCTCCCCAAATGCTGGGATTACAGAGTGAGCCACCACACCCAGCCATTTTTAAAATTTTCACCAGGAAGTTTTTTCTTTCATTTTTAAGCACAGTAAGTATTTGTGTATTATGTTACAGATATTTTCCCCTCAATTTCTTTGTTCTTTTTATCTCTTTAGGGAGTATGAACATAAGTTTTTAACTTTTAAATGGTTAAATATATTAGTGTGATTTTTATATTAAGATTTTATTTTATTTATTTTTTTTTTTTTTGAGACGGAGTCTCGCTCTGTCGCCCAGGCTGGAGTGCAGTGGCGGGATCTCGGCTCACTGCAAGCTCCGCCTCCCGGGTTCACGCCATTCTCCTGCCTCAGCCTCCCAAGTAGCTGGGACTACAGGCGCCCGCCACTACGCCCGGCTAATTTTTTGTATTTTTAGTAGAGACGGGGTTTCACCGTTTTAGCCAGGATGGTCTCGATCTCCTGACCTCGTGATCCGCCCGCCTCGGCCTCCCAAAGTGCTGGGATTACAGGCGTGAGCCACCGCGCCCGGCCTATATTAAGATTTTAAACTTGCCGGGCGCAGTGGCTGACGCCTGTAATCCCAGCACTTTGGGAGGCCGAGGCGGGTGGATCACAAGGTCAGGAGATCGAGACCATCCTGGCTAACACGGTGAAACCTTGTCTACTAAAAATACAAAAATTAGCCGGGCGTGGTGGCGGGCGCTTGTAGTCCCAGCTACTCGGGAGGCTGAGGCAGGAGAATGGCGTGAACCCGGGAGGTGGAGCTTGCAGTGAGCCGAGATGGTGCCACTGCACTCCAGCCTAGGCGAGAGTGCAAGACACCGTCTCAAAAAAAAAAAAAAGATTTTAAACTTACCTGGAGAGTTTTTGAGATACAGTTTGGAGTTGCAAGTTACTTTAACACTATTTATATGGAATATTCTATTTTACTAGACAGACTTAAATTCTCCCTTAAATTCACAAATTTATAGAAAAGTTACAAAAATACTGAAAAGTGCTCCTGTTTACTCTGACTAGAATTCTTTAGTGGGTGGCACCCTACCCTGAGGGCTTCATGACCTGTCCTCCCACATGATCCAGGCTCTACCCTCAGGGCTTCATGACCTGTCCTCCCACATGATCCAGGCTCTACCCTCAGGGCTTCATGACCTGTCCTCCCACGTGATCCAGGCTCTACCCTCAGGGCTTCATGACCTGTCCTCCCACGTGATCCAGGCTCTACCCTCAGGGCTTCATGACCTGTCCTCCCACGTGATCCAGGCTCTACCCTCAGGGCTTCATGACCTGTCCTCCCACGTGATCCAGGCTCTACCCTCAGGGCTTCATGACCTGTCCTCCCACATGATCCAGGCTCTACCCTCAGGGCTTCATGACCTGTCCTCCCACGTGATCCAGGCTCTACCCTCAGGGCTTCATGACCTGTCCTCCCACGTGATCCAGGCTCTACCCTCAGGGCTTCATGACCTGTCCTCCCACGTGATCCAGGCTCTACCCTCAGGGCTTCATGACCCTTCCTCCCACATGATCCAGGCTCTACCCTGAGGACTTCATGACCTGTCCTCCCACGTGATCCAGGCTCTACCCTCAGGGCTTCATGACCTGTCCTCCCACATGATCCAGGCTCTACCCTCAGGGCTTCATTACCTGTCTTCCCACATGATCCAGGCCCATTCTTTCTTGAACCATTGGAAAGGAATTTGCAGATAGGATGTGTACCCCTAACTGCCTGAGTATTTCTTAGCAGGTGTATTCTTTTGTGCAAGTGTAAGTCAGAATGTTAATGTTGATGAAATACTAATCTGCAGGCCTAATTGTTCCAATAATGTCCTTTATGGCAAAATCTTCCCTCAAGCTTTAATCCAATATCATGGGTTGCATTTGTTTATTTTTAATTATTTTTCTTTTCTTTTTCTGTTTTCCTTACCCTTCTCACTGTGCACATGGGTTGCATTTAGTTATCACATTGACACCCTTTTAACCTGGAATAATTCCTTAATCTTTCCTTGTGTTTGATGACTTTGTCATTTTTGAATTGTTCCACAAGTTATTTTGTAGAATATCCTCAGTGTTTTTTTTTTTCTGGTGTCTCGTGATTAGATTCAGGTTATGAAACTACATTTTTGTCAGGAAGATTGCAGAAGAAATGGGGCCTTCTCCTGCACCTTACCAGGAAGCACACACCAACTTTGATCCCTTGATTAAGGTGATGACCGCTGTACTTAGTTTCTCCGCTATGAAGTTGCTTTTTTTTTCTTTGTGGGGAGACAGTTTTAGACTATGTAAACGTCCTATTTCTCATCATACTTATACCTGTTAGTGTTAGCATTTGATGATGATTCTTGCCTGAATCAATTATTTGCATAATGCTTACAAAATTATCATTCCTTCCATATGTATTAGTTGGTGTTCTTCCAAAAGCTTTTCCTTTGCCTCTGTTTATTTACTTATTTATCACTGTGGACGCATAGATTCTTACGCAATTGATTTTGATACTGATCTCATAGCTAGACAATTTTGCTAAACTTTTAAAAAAATTTATGTACTTTATCTTTTATAGCAGCTTTAAATTTACAGAAAATTTGAGTGGAAGATGCAGTGTTCCCATAAAGCCGCTAACTCCTCGCACCTTCCCTCAAGTTTCCCCAGTACTAACATCTTGCATTCAAGTGGTGCGTTTGCAACATTCATAAATTATTATCGTCCAGAGTCCATTGTTTACATTCAGCTTCCTCTTCATGTTGTTCATTCTGTGGTTTCACAGATGTGTGATGCACGTGCCCACCACTGCAGTGTCACACAGGATCTCACTGCCCCGGAGTCCTCTGCGCTGTCCCCGCCTCCAGAACCCCTTAGTAGCAAACACTGATATTTTTACTGTCTCCATAGTTTTGCCTTTTCAGACTGACCTATTTCACTTAGTAAGAAGCATTTAAGATTCCTGAGTCTCTTTCTATGGCTCAATAGCACATTTCTTTTTAGTGCTGAATAATATTCCATTGTCTGGATGTACCACAGTTTATTCATTCACCTACTAAGGTGAATGTCTTGCTTGCTTCCAAGTTTTGGCAACTATGAATAAAGTTGCTATCAATGTTAGCGTGCACATAAGTTTTCAGCTCATTTGGGTAAATGCCAAGAAGCATGATTGCGGGATCCTATGGTAAGAGTGTGTTTAGTTCTGTAAGAAGCTGCCAAACTGTATCTTAAGTGGCTGCACCATTTGCGTTTCCACCAGCAATGATGAGCGTTTTGTTGCTCCACATCCTCACCAGCATTTGCTGTTGTGTTTTGGGTTTTAGCCTTTCTAAGAGGTGTGTAGTGGTATCTCCTTGTTTCAATTTGCAATTCCCTAATGACATTATGTTAAAATCTTGTCATATAGTTATTTGCCATCTGTGTATCTTTTTCAGTGATGTGTCCTTTAAAGTCTTTGGCTCATTTTTAAATTAAATTTTCTTATTGTTGAGTTTTAGTTCTTCATATATTTTGGCTGCCAGTCCTTTATCAGATATGTCTTTCGCAAATATTTTCTGCCTGTGTCTTGTCTTTTCATTCTATTAACAGTATCTTTTGCAGAGCCAGTTTTCATTTCAAGGAAGTCCAGCTTATCAATGTTCTCTTTCATGTATCATGTTTTTGGTGTTGTATCTAAAAAGTTACTGCCAAGCCCAAGGGTACCTAGATTTTTTCCTGTGTTATATTCTAGGATTTTTAAAGTTTTGCATTTTACATCTAGGTCCATGATTCATTTTGAGTTAACTTTTGTGAAGGGTTTATGGTTTGTGTCTAGATTTTTTTTTTTTTTTTTTTTTTTGCATGTGGATGTCCAGTTGTTTTGGTACCATCTGTCAAGAAGACTCTTTTTGGGTCATTTTGTTGCCTTTGTTTCTTTGTAAAAAATCAGTTGACTGCATTTGCATGGGTCTATTTCTGAGCTCTCTGTTCCATTGCATTGATCTGTTTGTTCTTCTCAGCAATCCCACACTGTCTTGGTTCCTGTAGCTCTGTAGTAGGCCTTGCAGTCAGTTACCGCCCCTGTTCTCACTTCAGTGTTCTCTTCAATAGTGTTTTGACTATTCTAGGTTTTTTCCCTCTCCATATACATTTTAGAGTCAGTTTGTCAATAGTTTACAAAATAACTTGCTGAGACTTTGATTGGGATTACATTGAATCTGTAGCTCAAGTTGGAAAGATCTTTTATTTCTTTCATCAGAATTTTGTAGTTTTCATCATATATAGATCTTGTACATATTTTGTTGTTTATACCTAAGGATTTCATTTTTTTGGTGCTAATGTAAATGGCGTTGTGTTTTAAATGTCAAAATCTAATTGTTCATTGCTGGTAGGAAAACAACTGACCCTTTTTTTTTTTTTTTAAGGGACGCAGTCTTACTCTGTTGCCCAGGCAGAGTGCAGTGGTGCCATCATAGCTCACTGCAGCCTCAAACTCCTGGGCTTAAGGAATCCTCCTGTCTCAGCCTCCTGAGCAGCTAGGACCACAGGCATGTGCCACTACGTTCAGCTAATTTTTCAATTTTTTTGTAGAGATGGGATCTTGCTCTGTTGCCCAGGCTGGTCTCAAACTCCCGTCTGCTTTGAGATGATTATATATTTGTGTCCTTTGTTAATTTAGAGGATTATTATGGATTTTTCTAATGTTAAGACACCTTTGTATTTCTGAGATCGACCTTAGTATTGGTCTATATTTAAGACAGTATTCAGTTTCTCAGTTGTTTTTTGTTTTTTGTTTTTTTTTTTTGAGACAGAGTCTCTGTCTCCCAGGCTGGAGTCCAGTGGCACAATCTCAGCTCACCGCAAGCTCTGCCTCCCGGATTCACGCCATTCTCCTGCCTCAGCCTCCCGAGTAGCTGGGACTACAGGCGCCTGTCATCATGCCCAGCTAATTTTTTGTATTTTTAGTAGAGACGGGGTTTCACCATGTTAGCCAGGGTGGTCTCAATCTCCTGACCTCGTGATCTGCCCACCTCGATCTCCCAAAGTGCTGGGATTACAAGGCGTGAGCCACTGCGCCCGGCAGCAGTTTCTCAGTTTTAATTTGGAGTTTTGCATCTGTGTTCATGAGTGAGCCTGAAATTTTCACTTTTCCATATCTTATTTCTCTGGGTTCCTAGAATGAGCTAGAGAGTGTTCCTCCTTTCTGTTCTCTGGAAGAGTTTGTGTGAGATTAGAATGAGTGTGTCTGATAATTTAGTTGCATTCATTTATAAAATTCCTAGGCCTAGAGTTTTTTTTCTGGGAAAAGTTTACATTTTGACTCATTTTTTTAGTAGTTTTAGGACTGTTTAGGTTCTCTATTTCTTGATTGAGCCAGTTTTGATAAGTTAATCTTTCTAATTTGTAGATATTTTCTCTAAGTTTGCAAATGTAATACATAAAACTTTCTTGTCATTTCTCACCATATCTGTAGTTCTATCTTTTTATTGCTAATATTACTAATTTGTACTTTGACTATTTGTATTTGTTACCTGTTGCCGAGTAACAATATTAGTACAAACCTAGTGGCTTAGAACAACACACATTGATTACTTCACCGTTTCTGTGTGTCAGAAGTCCAGGCGCGGCCTCGCAGGTCGTCCTCTGCCTCAGGGTCTCTCCGGGCTTCAGTCAGGGTGTTAGCCAGGACCGGGGTCTCGCCTGAGCTTCCAGTGAGGAAGGATCTGCCTCTGAGCACACAGGGTCCTCGGCACGATCCCATTCCTCAGCTGGAAGCTGCCGACTACCGTCTGCTGCGGGGCCTCTCTAGATGGCATCTTCACAAAAGCGAGAAGGGAGAGTTGGTAGAGGGAGTCTGCTAGCACCATGGGAGTCGCGGTCACACAGACCTCGGTCCCAGGACCCGCACCCATCAACCCTGCCGTGATCTGCTGGTTAAAGACAAGTCCCACGTCCCACAGGGTGACACTGGAGTAGACACTTCGCTCTGGCCTTTTCAGAGAACTGGTTATTTTTTGGAAATATCAGTTAGATGTAGGATGGGTCTTGTCTTCTAAATCTATTGTTTTCTCTCTAATTGATTTTTTCCTGTTTTTATTTAGTTCACTTTGTTGGGTTTGCTCAAGCCTGGGTCACTGGATCTCAGGGATGCTGCTCCTGTTTGCAGCTGTGTCTGCAGGGGCTTCCCAAGGCCTTGCTTTCCCCTCACGTCCCTTTCTCAGACTCTGCCAATCCGCTTCCCGCTCTGGTGTCCTGTGGTTGCTTCTTTTTAAAACCCTCATCGGTCTGTGTAAACTGTTTATTTTTATGTGGTTTTTAAGGGAGACCATTCTCATTCTTTTGAGACCCTGGAAAGGATGGAATTGGGATAGGTAAACTGCTGTTTTACCAGAATGTTCACTGGACCAATCTCGTGTTCCAGGGAGACCCTCACGCAGGGCTTAGAGTTCTGTCGGCGGCAGCAGAGGGCCGATGGCTCCTGGGAAGGGTGAGTGAGCCTCCACTCGTGAGTGCAGAGATGCACGGGATCCACAGGTTTCTGCTCTCACACACTGCGTTCATAAATGTTGGCTTGTATGTTGTTGCTACACCAGAAGTTTCTGGAAGTGAGCTGCCAGCCCGTGACTTCTGGGGGACCTCGTTCCTTTGTGGCATGCGTGGCCTTTGCCCCGGTGGAAATTGCTCAGTACGTTGCTGGGCGCAGCCGGGCTGCTGGGAGCGCGCTGTAGCCTGAGCGTGGCTATTCCCTCCACCCTTTCTGCTTGCTCTTAGGGTCCAGCAGACAGAGCTGCTGTCTTCCACGGCCTTAATGCCTGAGGCACTGGAGTTGGTGGGCTGGCTGGGGCACGTGTGATTGTTGCAGAATGCGTGTTGTTTCACACACCGGCTGTGAACAGGGTGGAAGGGCTGAGGCTCTCCCTGTTTCCCTCCAGCTCCTGGGGAGTTTGCTTCACCTACGGCACCTGGTTTGGCCTGGAGGCCTTCGCCTGTATGGGGCAGACCTACCGAGATGGGTGAGTGAGTGCCTGTCCTCTGGTGGGTGGGGGTTCTCAACCCAATGCTCTGTCATGAGTGTTTTTTGCTTTGACATTTGGTTTTAGGGTTTGTTTGTTTGTTTGTTTGTTTTTGAGACGGAGTCTCGCTCTGTCAACCGGGCTGACATGCAGTGGCATGATCCTAGCTCACTGCAGTCTCAAACTCGTGGGCTCAAGCGATCCTCCCGAGTAGCTGGGATCACAGGTGCACGCCACCACCCCGGGCTAATCTTTTAAAACTTTTATGTAGAGATGGAGTCTTGCTGTGTTGCTCACACTGGTTTGGGCTCAAGCAGTCTTCCTACCTCGGCCTTCCAAAGTGCTGGGGTTACAGGCATGAGCCAATGTGCCTGGCCTGTTTTTAATATTTTTAAACAGTGAGATAAGATCCCCGGTTGAAATGAAGATGTTTCCCTGGTCCCACAGCTCTCTGGAGCTTCCTGACATGTATGCTGGAGGGACGCTTCTGGTCTCCGGCCCCTCCAGGCATACAGATGCCTCCCAACCCTGAGTAGGAAGATTAGGGTCCACGGCCTCGCTGGAGCGGGTTAGAAGGCAGGAGATCTCCGGTCCCAGCCGTGTCTCCAGCCGCCGGACTCTCTCCCAGCCCTGTCTCCAGCTGCCCCACTGTCTCCCAGAGTCTGCCGTGTGGATGTTTAGAGGTGGGGAGCACCGTGCTTGGCTGAGTGCAGCTTGTGAGACGCTGCTCCCAAGCACTGCAGACCTCACTCAGCCTGACGCGTCCGTGAGGCCATCCTCGGTACTCGCATGTCCCTTTGTCTTCCCAGCGACTCTGGGAGGCAGGAGTATCTGTTCCCAGTTCACATCTGCAAAAGTCAAGCTCGGGTTTCAGTAGTGGCCCATGGCCCTTAGGTAGGGTGGCCCCATCGTGCAGGCTCCTCCCCGTACCCCAAGGCAGCCTGCTGGGGTGAGAAGCCAGGGGTCTGGGACCTTCCTTGGTGTGATGGTGTCTCCTGTCTCTGGTCTTTGCAGGACTGCCTGTGCAGAGGTCTCCCGGGCCTGTGACTTCCTGCTGTCCCGGCAGATGGCAGACGGAGGCTGGGGGGAGGACTTTGAGTCCTGCGAGGAGCGGCGTTATTTGCAGAGTGCCCAGTCCCAGATCCATAACACATGCTGGGCCATGATGGGGCTGATGGCCGTTCGGTGGGGACGACGGGACCGTCCCTGAGCCTTGGGTTTGGGTAGAGGAGGGACACTCAGCTGTGAGCCGGTGGCCTGGGCTGAGTGAATGTAGAGAGGAGGGGAGGCCTGTGGGCCAGGTCAGCTGCCACTCTGGGAACAGACACCTACAAGAGCCACATGCCTGGTTCCTGGGGCAAGAACGTGGGCTGCTCTGACCAAGTGGGGCCCTGCAGAGAGGCTCGCCTCTTAGAAGTGAACCACCCACCATTAGCCATGTCAGTGGAAGAGCAAGCACATCAGGGACCCATGGAAACAGCGAGGTGGGCTGCGATGAGGATGCTGCTTCCTGGTGTGGTAGTGATGACGGTCACAGCAGCTGCTCTCTGTGGCCCTACTGTGTTCACAGCTGGTGCTGAGCCACATATGTGCCAGGTGCACACACACGCAGACGCATGCAGGCAGGCATCAGTGTACACACTGATGTGCACACACAGATGTACATGGAGACAGATGCACACACAGGCCTATGCACACACGTACGCATGCCCACACAGGCACCTGTGTCCACACACATACAGATGCACCCACAGCATCCCATCTGTGCCACACACTGACATAGGTACATGGAGACAGATGCACACACAGGTCTGTGCACACACGTATGCATGCACAGGCACCTGTGTACACACACGTACAGATGCACCCACAGGATCCCATCTGTGCCACACACAGACGTAGGTACATGGAGACAGATGCACACACAGGTCTGTGCACACACATACATACGCATGCACAGGCACCTGTGTACACACATGCAGATACACCCACAGCATCCCATCTGTGCCACACACAGACATAGGTACATGGAGACAGATGCACACACAGGTCTATGCACACACATACGCATGCACAGGCACCTGTGTACACACACGTACAGATGCACCCACAGGATCCCATCTGTGCCACACACAGACGTAGGTACATGGAGACAGATGCACACACAGGTCTGTGCACACACATACATACGCATGCACAGGCACCTGTGTACACACACGCAGATACACCCACAGCATACCATCTGTGACACACACAGACGTAGGTACATGGAGACAGATGCACACACATGTCTGTGCACACACATACATACGCATGCACAGGCACGTGTGTACACACATGCAGATACACCCACAGCATGCCATCTGTGACACACACAGACGTAGGTACATGGAGACACATGCACACACAGGTCTGTGCACACACATACGCATGCACAGGCACCTATGTACACACATGCAGATACACCCACAGCATCCCATCTGTGCCACACACAGACATAGGTACATGAAGACAGATGCACACACAGGTCTATGCACACACGTATGCATGCACAGGCACCTGTGTACACACATGCAGATGCACCCACAGTATCCCATCTGTGCCACACACAGACATACGTACATGGAGACAGATGCACATACAGGTCTATGCACACATGTACACATGCACAGGCACCTGTGTACACACATGCAGATGCACCCGCAGTATCCCATCTGTGCCATACACAGACATACGTACATGGAGACAGATGCACATACAGGTCTATGCACACATGTACACATGCACAGGCACCTGTGCACACATATGCAGATGCACCCGCAGTATCCCATCTGTGCCACACACAGACATACGTACATGGAGACAGATGTACACACAGGTCTATGCACACATGTACACATGCACAGGCACCTGTGTACACACATGCAGATGCACCCGCAGTATCCCATCTGTGCCACACACAGACATACGTACATGGAGACAGATGCACACACAGGTCTATGCACACATGTACACATGCACAGGCACCTGTGCACACATATGCAGATGCACCCGCAGTATCGCATCTGTGCCACACAGACATACGTACATGGAGACAGATGTACATACAGGTCTATGCACACATGTACACATGCACAGGCACCTGTGCACACATACATACAGATGCACCCGCAACATCCCGTCTGTGCTGCCCTATTAGGTTTGTGGCCATTTGGGGAATCTTCCTAAAACCCTAAAAGCTAGGGCAGGTCTGCTTGAGCAGGAGCAGCAGGGTCTGGGGGACCCCTGAGGGCAGGACAGTCAGGGACCCACAGTTGAGCTGGGCCCGCTGAGCCCTGGATCCTTCTTGGTGTCTTATCCTGGCCAGCAAGCAAGTGTGAGCTCCTGTGGGTCTCCAGAGGCCCATGAGGACCAGTGGGCCAGTTGGGAACAAGGCTTGGCGTCCTCTTCAGGGGGGAACACCAGGGCAGGCCTGAGGAGGCCTGTGTCCCCAGCCTGTCATTGCTGTGGCTCCGCTTCTCAGGGAGCCTAGGAAGAAGGTGTGGCAAGAGCCCGAGGCGCTGGCTGCACCTGGCGGGGCCTGTGGGCGTCAGTTTAGACCCATCCATTCTCACTGCAGCATTCCAGGGTTTGCCCTTATGCTCGGCTGTGTGAGGGTGAGGATGATGCTGTGGGGGCATGCATGCTGGGTGTGTTTCAGCCTTCTCTTCCACCAGGCATCCTGACATCGAGGCCCAGGAGAGAGGAGTCCGGTGTCTACTTGAGAAACAGCTCCCCAATGGCGACTGGCCGCAGGTATGCCGCCAGGGACCTGAGCGCACAAGGCCCAGCACTGACCTCCAGCGTGCATGGCTGTTTCCACGTCCCCCTGCTCTGTGTCCTTTTTGGGGTACTTTGGACACTTGGGAGGCGTCACCTCTGCCAGTGAATGCCACAGTTGGTGGCAGGTCTGTGGCAGGTGGTCGGGTCCTAAAGTCCAGATCTTGCTGTTGTTTCAAGTGATGCTCTGGGTGGGGGAGGAGCTGGATGGGAGAAGCCAGTGGGCGGGAAGCCTTTTTGCTGCAGGACAGACCCTCCCACTCCAGATGACCTAGTGGCCCCTCACTGAGCCAGAAGTCCCTGTGGTGTGGGTGTCATGAGGTCATGTGAGGCCAACCGCCCTCCCCTGGGATGAGGCTGAGTTGGTGGAAGCTGATGTGGTTGTGAGGGGCTGGTGACCCTGGCTTAGGGTTTGCTGCAGGGCGGGGAGTCTGAGCTGGGCTGATGGTGCCATGACTGATGCGGGATGGACTACTTGCTTTCCTATGCTCTTGCTTAATTAGCCCTTTCCAGGCTGACTCACCCACAAGCCAGCCAAGCCAACAGCCAGGGCTCCAGTTCAGGGACTAGCCCTCAGCTGACTGGTGAAGCCTTTGTGTTTATTTCTCTGTGTTCTTTTAGGAAAACATTGCTGGGGTCTTCAACAAGTCCTGTGCCATCTCCTACACGAGCTACAGGAACATCTTCCCCATCTGGGCCCTCGGCCGCTTCTCCCAGCTGTACCCTGAGAGAGCCCTTGCTGGCCACCCCTGAGAACATGCCTACCTGCTGGGTGCCGTCTGTGCGTTCCAGTGAGGCCAAGGGGTCCTGGCCGGGTTGGGGAGCCCTCCCATAACCCTGTCTTGGGCTCCAACCCCTCAACCTCTATCTCATAGATGTGAATCTGGGGGCCAGGCTGGAGGCAGGGATGGGGACAGGGTGGGTGGCTTAGACTCTTGATTTTTACTGTAGGTTCATTTCTGAAAGTAGCTTGTCGGGCTTGGGTGAGGAAGGGGGCACAGGAGCCGTGACCCCTGAGGAGGCACAGCGCCTTCTGCCACCTCTGGGCACGGCCTCAAGGTAGTGAGGCTAGGAGGTTTTTTCTGACCAATAGCTGAGTTCTTGGGAGAGGAGCAGCTGTGCCTGTGTGATTCCTTAGTGTCGAGTGGGCTCTGGGCTGGGGTCGGCCCTGGGCAGGCTTCTCCTGCACCTTTTGTCTGCTGGGCTGAGGGACACGAGGGCAACCCTGTGACAATGGCAGGTAGTGTGCATCCGTGAATAGCCCAGTGCGGGGGTTGCTCATGGAGCATCCTGAGGCCGTGCAGCAGGGAGCCCCATGCCCCTGGGTCGTGAGCTTGCCTGCGTATGGGGTGGTGTCATGGAGCCTCATGCCCCTGGGTCGTGAGCTCGCCTGAGTATGGGGTGGTGTCATGGAGCCGCATACCCCTGGGTTGTGAGCTCGCCTGCATATGCAGGGTCTGTCATGGAACATCCCAAGTCTGTGCAGCAGGGAGCCCCATGCCCCTGGGACATGAACCCACCTGCGTGGAATGCTGTTTGTGAGGTGTCTACAGGGTTTATAGTAGTCTTGTGGACACAGAAATGCACAGGGGACACTTACGGACACAGAAATGCACAGGGGAGGCCGAGCATAACCAGGGGTGAGGGGCAGGCAGCAGTTGTAGTTACTGCCGCGGGGCACTGCTATGTGCAGGGACAGCCAGCACCCAGCCCATCACCACTCCCTGGGCTGGCTGGCAGGTATGGCACCCTGGGAGCCCGGCATATACCCAGGGCACCCCTACGGCTGCCGCCAGTCTCATGCCCAGGTGGGTGCTCTGGGCTGGAGCGAGGGCCAGGTTTTGGGCCGAGGCTTCCCCAGGCAATCCTGTGAGCTCCCTTCTAGCCTCTGACCCAGTCTGGTCTGGCTTGCATGGATGTAGGGCTTGGGGTGGGAAGTTCAGGTCCTGGCTTTGCCTTTGCCTGATGTGGATGAGCAGCTCACATGCTCAGGGCCACCTGAGACTGTCACTGCTCTCCCCTGGCTACTGGGAGGAGTCACTGAGAGCTTCGTTACCCCTGCTGCCTTGCCCAGGGCACACCCTATACCTCCTTATCTGCTCTTCCCCTCCCTGCCGCCTTCTGGGCAGGTAGCAGTCCCTGGCCTCTCCCCCTGGCTGATCACTCTCCCTCAGGCAGTGGAGATCTGCGTCTGGACACCCTCAGATCCTGTCATTGCCTGCCCAGAGTCCTTCAGGGGCACCCCTCTGCCTTGGTGTGCAGTCCAGGGCTCTCACCCAGGTGCCGCACCCTCTGGGGTCTTCTGTCCAGCTCCCTTGCCCCATGTGCTGTCACTGACTCTCCTTGGGACTCGCCTGCCTGCTCAGAGCCCTGCAGGGCTTGGTCAGCTGCCTGTTCAGTGTCAACACTTCCCTGCACATCTTAAAACTGGGCTTTATTTTCGCTGAAGGAACTGTGTTGGGACCCTTGACATCTGTCAGGTTTGCACATGCTGTTTTTTTTTCTCAGCCCACGTGTTCTCCCCCACGTGGGGTAGCAGCAGGACAGACAGTGAATCACAGAGTCTGCCCTGAGCAGAGGCTGCTGTCCCTGGGACTCCTAGCCATGGTCAGACTGTACAAAACGGTTTTCCAGAAATGAAATGTAAATCCATTTTTATACTGAAAATGTTACTGAAAGTCACTTTTATGAGCATCTGCCTTAATAAACAGACATTGATTCCCTTATCAGAAGCCTGTCACACTGTGTTTCGTTTCATCCTGGGGAGAACTGCAGATTTGGGGTTTCTGGCTGTCATACGTCACCTGCCTGTGGGGCGAGTGGGAGGCCCAGCCTGGTTTAGGGAACAAGAGTGACGTGAGGAGTAGCAGGGTGCGTCTCCAGTTACCTGAGGGAAAACAGATATTTTAAGAGATAATAGCATAGCCTATTTTAATATGTTTTAAAGGCCATAAGCATATCCAGGAAGATAAATAAACGTGATACAATGTCCACATAGGAGGAACTTTCTTTCACTGCATTGTTTTCCTTCACAGTGGCCTTCAAGTCACAGGACGCAGCGATTCCCTGCCCTCTTCGGTGTTATTACACAGGCAGGACTTCAGTGTCAGTATCCCTGCCTTCAGTCTTCTTTAGAAATCACATCTGTGTTCAATCCATTGTTTAGAGGGAGTGTATTTTTCCTGTTCCACGAAGAGGACTTTTTGTTCACAATTGGATCACAATGCAGAGGAGTCTGTTCCTCCCCCGTCGGCTTCTCGGTGCTGGGAGGGTGACCTGTCCCAGATGACTCATCACCCTGACATGCTCTTGACAAAGGACACCACCAAGAGGAGATGGCAGCTGTACCGGTGCAGCCTCTGTCTGAGGGGGATATTTGCCTCAGTGTGATTAAAAATCAGTCATGAAAGATTTTTGAATTCAGATTATTTTTATCAGGAACAGATTTTGAACATCCTGAAATCTTTTCCCTGGCATCATATTAGGTTTTCTTTGTTCACTATGATGTAAAGTTTCAGACTCTTGATATTTTTAATATCAACATAGACGGTAGGACAAGGAACGGTACCAGAAATGAGTAAAGAGACAATAATGATAAGATCGATTTATCAAGACATAACAACCCCAAATGTATATGCACTAAATAACAGCTTCAAAATACATGAAGCAAAATGGCAGAATTGAAGAGAATGAGATAAAAACAGAATTTTAACGGGTGCTTTCCGTACTTTGTAACTGACAGACATGAGATCTGTAAGGACAGAGATTTGAACATCAGCCAACACAAGCGAGCGGTCTTTAGAGGATGCTTCACCTAACACTGCTGAAGCACACGGCTTTGCAAGAGCTCGTGGCCCATGTGCTAAGGTAGACCACAGCTGGCTCACCAGGTGAGTCTCAGTATGTTAGCAAGGACGGAAGTCACACACAGCATCCTCCCCCACCACAGTGGAGTTAAACTGAATTGAAAATCAGTGGCAAAGGAGCAAAGGCAGTTCAATGGAGAAAGGACAGCCTTCAACAAATGCTGAAACAAACTCCATTTGTAAAAAAAAAATGAACCTTGACATACCCTTCACATCTAGACATACTCAAGATCAATCAGAGACCTAAATGTAAAACAAAACTATAAAACCCCTAGAACATCACATAGGAGGAAATCTAGGTGACCTTGGGTTTGGCAGTAACTCTTTAGATATGACACCAAAGGCATGATCCTCGAAAGAAAACATTAATAGGTTGGGCTTCATTAAAATAATACATTTCTGGCTCATGCCTGTAGTCCCAGCACTTTGAGGGGCCAAGGTGGGAGGGTCACTTGGGCTCAGGAGTTGGAGACCAGCCTGGATAACAGTGAAACCCCATCTGTACAAAACAGTCAGAAGATTAGGCAGGTGTGGTGGTGCGTGCCCGTTGTCCCAGCTACTCGGAACACTGAGGTGGGAGGATTGCTTGAGCCTGGGAGGCCGAGGCTACAGTGAACTGTGGTTGCGCGGCTGTGCTCTTAACTTGCGTGACAAAGTGAGACCCTGTCTCAATAAAATAATTAATGAAACTGAAACTTTCTGCTCTGCAAAGAATGTCAAGAAAATGAAAAGACAAGTCAGAGACTGGGAGAATATATTTGAAAAAGACAAAGGATCAGTATCCAAAAGAGCTCTTCAAACCCAACAATAAAACAACCTGGTTAAAAAATGGGCTGAAGGGGCCGGGTGCGGTGGCTCACGCCTGTAATCCCAGCACTTTGGGAGGCCGAGGTGGGCGGATCACAAGGTCAGGAGATAAAGACCATCCTGGCTAACACGGTGAAACCCCGTCTCTACTAAAAATAAAAAAAATTAGCCGGGCACGGTGGCAGGCGCCTGTAGTCCCAGCTACTCGGGAGGCTGAGGCAGGAGAATGGCGTGAACCCGGGAGGCAGAGCTTGCAGTGAGCCGAGATTGTGCCACTGCACTCCAGCCTGGGTGACAGAGAGAGACTTCGTCTCAAAAAAGACAAAAAAGAAATCAAACAAACAAAAGTGGCTGTGCCAATTTGCATTCCCACCAACAATGAGTTCCTGTTACTCCACGTCCTCAGCAGCATTTGGTGGTGGCAGTGTTCTGGATTTTGGCCACTCTAAAAGGTATATTGGTAGTTTTAATCTGCATTCCCCTGATGACATATGATGTGGAACATCTTTTCATATGCTTATTTAACAACTGTGTATCTTCTTTGGTGCGGTGTCTGTTAAGGTCTTCAGCCTTTTCTTTTTTTTTTGATACGGAGTCTCGCTCTTTCGCCCAGGCCGGAGTGCAGTGGCGCGATCTTGGCTCACTGCAAGCTCTGCCTCCCGGGTTCACGCCATTCTCCTGCCTCAGCCTCCTGAGTAGCTGGGACTATAGGCGTAGCGAAACTGCTCTGGCCTGACACTGTGATGGTGGATACAGGTCATTATACATTTGTCCAAAGCCAGAGAATGTGCAGCATCAAGAGTGAGCCCCATTGTAAACTGTGGGCTTTGGGTGGTGACGATGTGTCCATGTAGATTCATCAGCTGTAACAAATGGACCACTCTGGGACTGAGTGTGGGTGTGCGCGCCTGTAATCCCAGCTGCTTGGGAGGCTGAGGCAGGAGGATCTCTTGAGCCCAGGCATTTGAGGCTGCAGTGAGCCGTGATCATGCCACTTGCCCTTCAGCCTGGGCAATAGAGCAAGACCTTGTCTCAAAAAAGTACCACTTTGCTGCAGGACGTTTCAAAAATATTCTCCCAGTCTCTGACTTGTCTTTTCATTTTCTTGACATTCTTTGCAGAGCAGAAAGTTTCAGTTTCATTAATTAAAGTATTTTATTGAGACAGGGTCTCACTTTGTCACGCAAGTTAGAGCACAGCCGCGCAACCACAGTTCACTGTAGCCTCGACCTCCCAGGCTCAAGCAATCCTCCCACCTCAGTGTTCCGAGTAGCTGGGACAACAGACACGCACCACCACATCTGCCTAATCTTCTGACTGTTTTCTACAGATGGGGTGTCCTTCTCTTTTGATAACTTTGGTAGGGTTTGTCCATTTCCTGTGGTTGTGGAGCACGGGCATCAAGCTTTAACTACACCCCACAAATTCTAATGTCATGTTTTTATTCTCATTCAACTTGAAATATTCTCTGGTTTCCTTCGTGCTTTTGTCTTTTTCAAGACTTTTTTAAGAGGAGTTTTAGGTTCTTAGCAAAATTGAGAGGAAGATAGAGAGATTTCCCCACTCGCTGCCCCAACAAATGCACAGCCTCCCCTATTATCAACAAACTACCTGACAGCCACAATTGTCAGCAAAACGCACATGAGGGAAAAATATAAAATATAAGTAGCGTTGTATCTATTTAAGAAATTGATTTAGAAATTTAAAACTTTTCCAGAAGAAATCTAGTTCTAGATAGCTTCACAGATGAATTCTATCCGACGTTTAAGAAGGAACACCCAGAAAATGGCGCAGAATCTCTGCGGCTCATTTTAAAAGGCCAGTGTTCCAAAGCCAGACCGAGACATCACAAGAAAAGGAGATTCAGATCGACTTCCCCTGTGAGCATAAAAATACTTAAAATATTAATAAATTGAATCCAGCGCTATATTAAAAGGATAATGTGTCAAGACCAGAAAACTGTCAGAATGTTGATAGGTCCGTGGCTGGAGAGTACCTGACGTCAAGAGAAGGTTTCCTTGGAGCGGGAGGAAGACGGCATTTAAAATATGATGGGAGGAGCCAGGGCAGGAAAAGCCATTCAGGGCCCCGTCGGGCTCAGAGCGGGGGGCGCATCCGTGACTCATCCCTCGCTTCTCTCTCTGCCCTGCATCCTGGACGCCCTGCATGCCCTCGTCAGTGGGCTGTGGCTGGGCCCCCGTTGTCTTGATCTGAGGTGTGAGCCCTGTGGTGCAACACCAGGCTGGTTGGGTTGTGTCAGGAACGCTTGGGGTGTAGAAACCTCCTTTCTCCACAAAGCCTGACTCAAGACTTTCTCTCCTAGAAGCAACCTTCCCCTAATCTGGCCGCCCGGGCTGAATGAAGGTGGTGTTCTCCCAGGGGCATCTGCACCTGAGTGCCCTTGGTGGTCCTGAGTGCCCGTCACAGGGCTGGAGGTGTGGCCGGCCCACTGGGATGGTGGTGGTGGTGGGTGCCCATCACAGGGCTGGAGGTGTGGCCGGCCCACTGGGTTGGTGGTGGTGGGTGCCCGTCACAGGGCTGGAGGTGTGGCCGGCCCACTGGGTTGGTGGTGGTGGGTGCCCGTCACAGGGCTGGAGGTGTGGCCGGCCCACTGGGTTGGTGGTGGTGGGTGCCCGTCACAGGGCTGGAGGTGTGGCCGGCCCACTGGGTTGGTGGTGGTGGGTGCCCGTCACAGGGCTGGAGGTGTGGCCGGCCCACTGGGTTGTGCTTTCTGCCGTACGTCCCTTCCCATGAGGATGAGATGACCCATCTGTTGCATCCCGGCTGCTGATAAAACAAGACCCTCGGAGCCAAGAAACAACACTGAGGTGATTTACTTTCCCAAGTAATTGAAGCAGGGAGTCAGGGTGGGTTTCAAGTCGGTCGCACTGACTGAGGACAGACGCCTGCTCTAGCAGGGCCCCATGAGCCGCAGCCCTGTGTGACGGCCCGAGGGGCCGTGGCCATGGGTTGGGGGCGTCCTCAGTTACGTGCAGGCAGGAGCAGTGCAGTCAGGAACAATTGGTGTCTTAGACACGGGCGCTCGTGGTCTGAGGGGTGGACATGCACTGCTGGACCCTTCTCATCAGGGAGTGAGGTCAGTAGGTGGCCTCCAGCCCAGCCCTCAGGGCCACCCAGTGCTCCAAAGCATGTGGGGGCCATCGTGGGGCTGCCTCAGGCTGGTCTCCCCACCCTAGGCTGGTCTCCCCCGCAAGACTGGTCTCCTCCCCCAGGCTGGTCTCCCCCACAAGGCTGGTCTCCTCCCCCAGGCTGGTCTCCTCACCAGGCTGGTCTCCTCCCCCAGGCTGATCTCCCCGCCCAGGCTGGTCTCCCCCGCAGGCTGGTCTCCCCCGCAAGCTGGTCTCCTCCCCCAGGCTGGTCTCCTCACCAGGCTGGTCTCCTCCCCCAGGCTGATCTCCCCGCCCAGGCTGGTCTCCCCCGCAGGCTGGTCTCCCCCGCAAGCTGGTCTCCTCCCCCAGGCTGGTCTCCTCACCAGGCTGGTCTCCTCCCCCAGGCTGATCTCCCCGCCCAGGCTGGTCTCCCCCGCAGGCTGGTCTCCCCCACAAGGCTGGTCTCCTCCCCCAGGCTGGTCTCCTCACCAGGCTGGTCTCCTCCCCCAGGCTGATCTCCCCGCCCAGGCTGGTCTCCCCCGCAGGCTGGTCTCCCCCGCAAGCTGGTCTCCCCTGCAGGCTGGTCTCCTCCCCAGGCTGGTCTCCCCCGCAGACTGGTCTCCCCCACAAGCTGGTCTCCCCACCAGGCTGGTCTCCCCCACATGCTGGTCTCCTCCCACTGCCCTTGCCAGTCCCTCCCTCCTCAAGTGTGGGTGCCAAGGACGGACCCTGATGAACACCTGCACATCAGTTGCTGCCCTGGGTGCCAGGGTCCACAGGAAGCTGCACTGGGAACCCTGTGTCCTGGGCAGGTCCTATGGGAAGTGCAGCCCACATGTTACTCGGGTGAAGGCAGCGTCCCCACCCAGCTTGAGGACACCACACAGGGTGGACACCCGACCCTGGCTGGGCCGCTCAATGGGGAGTGGCTTGGACGCCCCTCTTGGAGTACAGTCGCTACATCCCGTAGCTGCCTAATGTCCTTGGCATTCTCGGGCCCTGGTCATAATGTGGGAGTGGCTGCCTGTGCACGCCACGGGCCTCCAGCTTCACTGCCTCAACGGGGCCATGAGCCATCGCGGGGGCAGGCAGGGTGCTGGGCACCTCATCACTAGGGCAGTGACATCACAAGGCGTGGAAGGCGGTGGTGGCTACGGAACTCCGTGCCTGGGCTGTTTCTGTGGTGCCTGCGGGCTCTGGGCTCCCACCTCCATGGGGCTGCAGGAGCCGTGAGGGACAAGGAGGGACGCACCCGCCATGGCTGAAGGCGGCGAGCTGATGAGCCGGCTCCTGAGCGAGAACGCGGACCTGAAGAAGCAGGTGCGCCTCCTGAAGGAGAATCAGATGCTGCGGCGGCTGCTCAGCCAGAGCTGCCAGGAGGGCGGCGGCCACGACCTGCTCCCACCCAGGGCGCATGCCTACCCTGAGGCCGGCTCCCCCGGGAGCGGAGGTGAGGCGCCGCCCAGCTCAGATGGCCTGGTAGATGAGGGGGTCGCGGGACGCCTGCTCCCCGGGAGTCGAGGGTGGCGGCCAGCTCCCTGATGCGGGAGGTCACGGGCACCTTTCACACCCTCAGGTCTGAGTAAAGCAAGACCAGGTGGTGGGTTCTGCTGTTGCCCTCAGGTGAGGCCCCTCCCCTCCCCTTCGGTCGCTGGCGAAGTGGGAGTGGTCAACCGCTGGCAGGTGGACTGGTCAGCTGCAGTCATGGAAGTGTCCCCATAGGGGTAGAGCAGGTGGCGCGCAGGCTTGTGGGCCTCCAGGGCCCCAGGCAGCTCTTCCAGGCTGGTCCTGGCTGGCAGTTTGCTCTGCTGCATGTGTCTCTTCTCCTGGGTCAGGGGCGAGGGGGGTGTCAGACCAGCCACACGAGTCCCATGAGTGCTGTGTCCCATCCACTCATGTCCCCGGCCAGAGCCAGGCCAGCCCCATGGTGGGAAGGTCCCACCCTGGGGAGGCCTCAGAGCCACCGGCCAGGGGAGCAGGTAGGGACAAGTGGGCGCCTGTCCCTGCGGGGCTGGGAGTGTGGAGCCATGATCCACTCACCACATAGCATTGACTCCGACCTTCTGTGGCTTTTTACTGAAAAAAGTATATATATAGGGTTTGGTCACTTTCTGCAAAGTAGTAGGCTTTATTCTAAAAGGTTTGGGAAAAACATTACCCGTTCCTGCATGTGATTTGGGGTGGGGCTGACAGATGTACCCTTGACTTTTTGTTGGGATGGTGGGCAGAGGACAGAGTCCCTGACCCAGCACTGCCTGGGATTCCCACGGCCAACCTCAGCTTCCCACCGGGCCGGGCCCGGAAAGGACGTGGTCAGCCTGCCTGGTCCTGGACGATGGAGCAGGCAGCCTCGCCAGTGCCCGTGAACACTGCTGTCTGCGAGCACGAGCCATGCCCGGGAGGCCAGCTCTGCCACTCACCAAGGGGCCGCTCCAGCACCTGTGCTGGGGGTGGGGGAGGTTGCTTCCTGAGTCCTTCTCAAACGCTGGCCACCACCCTCAGATGTGCACTCTGAGCAGGCGCAGTGTGCAGGAGGCACTCTCCGCAGCCAGGCCCCAGGCCCTGCTCGGAGCTCCATGGACAAGCCTGAGAGCGAGCGTGTCTGGAAGCAAAGAGGGGAATCCATGGCATCGTCCCCACACCTTTGGTCTCTGGTGACAGGCAGGGGCTCCTCGCAGGGAGCTGGGAGGAGAGCACCTCGCCAGGATGTGCGGGGACAGTGTGGCTGGGGAACCTGGCGCCTGGGGGCCATGCTGTGCGAGGCCCCAGGTTCTGCGTCTCCATCAGCGGCCACTGAGCCCCACGCTCACCACAGGGCGTTTGCTGGGCAGACCTGCGCTTACGGTGCTGGGCCACGTGCAGGGTCCCGTTCACAGCACTTGTGAGGCCCGGGCACTGTGGCTGCAAAAGGGCCCTTAATCTGTTTGGCGTGTGTGGACCGCCGCAGGCTGCGTGCCCCGGGCTGCGTTGCTGTCCTCCTCCTCAAGAAGGAATCACCCTGGGCCGGACCTCAGGGCTGGACAGAGTGCTGGTGCCTCCCCTGGCAGGAGAGGGGCAGACCCTCAACCCTTGCCCAGGCTGTGCAGTCCCCAGAGGGACCCTTGTCAGGGGCTGAGTCCGGGCGGGGTCTCCATGACCACGGCTGCTGCCCCTGCCCTTGGGTCATCTTGGCAAACCCAGGTCTTGCTGGACACGGGTCTTGGGAGGAGCCTCAACCTGAGGCCAGCAGGCCTTCCACAGAGGGCCTTGGAGCCCCCGCCACAGGGTGTGGGGCAGGCTCAGTGTGGCCCGGGCTGGCAGCGGGGAGGGGCCTGGACAAGACCACCCTCTAAACTCTGCCACTTGAGTGGCAGCGTGTGGTGCACCCTTAATGCTCTGGGCCTCAGCATGTGCTTGGGAATGTACCTGGGGCTGTGGGACGCTGCATTCAGGACCAGCCCTCAGCAGAACTGGGGTTGGGAAGACCAGCACTGAGCTTCTGCAAAAAAGGAGAAGTTTATAAACAAAGGAACCACCACCAGCAATGTCTGCATGTTGCCAAGACTTCATTAGCATCTGTGTTCAAAACAGGATGAGTAAAAACCTGCTTTTCTTACGGATTCAACAACACGTGCTCATGGTAAACTTATAAACGCCATGGAGGGTGCAACGTTTAAGCCTCAGGCCACGCCTCCGGCCCCCTCCGCAAAGGCAGCCACAATCAACGTTCTCTTGGGTTTTCTCTGGAACTTTAGTGGAGATCTGTGTGTCTGTCTGTGTATCTTTTTGGTCCACCTACACGGGATTGTGCTGTTCCGCAACTTGACTTTTCCCCCTTAACGATCCATTTCGCGGCATTCCCCACCAGTCCTTATCTGCAGATCTCCCCGGCACACTTGAACACTGGGCTCCTTCTGTGGGGGCCCCAGGCAGGCAGCACTGTTCCCAGTTCTCTGCGACCGTGGACGCCGCCGCCGTGGGTGGCCTGCGCAGGCGCCCTGTGGCTTTGTGTAGGGGATCCCACACCTGGGTCCTCGGGTCAAAGGCTGTGTGCATTTGAAATGTTGAAACAGACACTGTCAAACGCTCTCTGAACGGTCCCTACACCCCACTGATGGAGGAGGAGGGCACTGCGCCGGCATCGTTCCCACGTCACAGGAGGGCTCATCTGTCCCCGTCAGCTGGGGAGCGAGGTCTCCAGGTCTTCTCACCCAGGTTTACAAGTGAGTGACGCGAAGGGCCAGTGGGAGCAGCAGTCCTCTGCCTCCCCTCCCAGCTGCCCCATCTCGTCTCCCTCGGGATTGTCCTGGTCCCTCCAGCACGGCCACGATGCCACTCGCCGTGTCTCCACTGGAGAGGTGTCCCCTGGAGGACAGCCAGGCCCCCCCAGATTGCCCACTCGCTCCCTAGTTGTTGGTGGTGGATTGTCAGATGATTTCCAACAGTGGTGAGAATTCTCTATGTGCAACTCCTGGTCACTCCTTCCGTCTGACATGACAGAAGATTGTCCCTGTGTTGTTAGGTGTACTTTAAAATGGCCCTGCAATATTGCCGATTCGGATGAACCACAATGTAATGAATTCTCCCTCAGTTTGAAATTAAAGTTTTTCTTCCCCTTGAGGTAAATAGCACCACAAAAAAGGTTTTAAGAATTTTTATATTTAAGGTTATTTCCATTGGATTTCTTTTTTTGGTGTGTGTGTGATTTTTTTTACTTTTATGGAGATGGGATCTTCTATGTTGCTGGTCTTGAACTCCTGGGCTTAAGGGATCCTTCTGTCTCGACCTCCTAAAATGCTGGGATTACAGGTGTGAGCCACCGTGCCTGGCCCATTATGTTTTTTTCTTTTTCAGACAGGGTCTATGTTCCCCAGGCTGGAGTGCAGTGGCAATGATCATGACTCACTGCAGCCTCGACCTCTGGGGCTCAAGCAATCCTCCTACCTCAGCCTCCTGAGTAGCTTGGACTACAGTGCTTGCCACCATGAGCGGCTAGTTAAAAATTTTTTTTTTTTTTTTGTAGAGACAGGGTCTCCCTATGTTGCCCAGGCCAGTCCCAAACTCCTGGGCTCAAGCAATTCTCCCACCTTGGCCTCCCAAACCATTGGGATTACAGGCTTGAGCCACTGTCCAGCTGGATTTATTTTTAAAAAATAGAATCATTGATTCAGAAGGCAGGAGTAAATGGTTTTTTGTTTGTTTGTTTTTGAGACACAGTCTGGCTCTGTTGCCCAGGCTGGAGTGCAGTGGTGTCATCTTGGTTCACTGCAACCTCTGCCTCCTGGGTTCAAGCGATTCTCCTGCCTTGCCCTCCCCAGTAGCTGGAATTAAAGGCACACACCACCATGCCTGGCTACTTTTTGTATTTTTAGTAGAGATGGGGTTTTGCCATGTTGGCTAGGCTGATCTTGGACTCCTGATCTCAGGTGATCCACCCACCTCGGCCTCCCAAAGTGCTGGGATTACAGGCATGAACCACTGCACCTGGCCATGTATTTCTTTTTTAAAAAACTTTTAAGTTCAGGGGTACAAGTGCAGGCTTATTACATAGGTGAACTTGTGTCATGGGAGTTTGTTGTACAGATTATTTTGTCACTCAAGTATTAAGCCTAGTACATTCGTTATTATTCCTGATCCTCTCCCTTCTCTCACCCTTCACCATCTGGTAGGTCTCAGTGTCTGTTGTTCCCCTCTATGTGTCCACGTGTTCTCGTTGTTTAGCTCCCACTTATAAGTAAGAGCATGTGGCATTTGGTTTTCTGTTCCTGCATTAGTTTGCTGAGGACAATAGCCTCCAGCTCCATCCATGTTCATGCAAAGGATATGATCTCATTCTGGTTTTTTTTTTTTTTTTTTTTTTTTGAGATGGAGTTTCACTCTTGTTGCCCAGGCTGGAGTGCAATGGCACGATCTCGGCTCGCTGCAACCTCCGCTTCCCGATTTCAAGCAATTCTCCTGCCTCAGCCTCCCAAGTAGCTGGGATTACAGGCATGCACCACCATGCCCAGCTAATTTTGTATTTTTAGTAGAGATGGTTTTCACCATGTTGGTCAGGCTGGTCTCGAACTCCTGACCTCAGGTAATCCACCTGCCTTGGCCTCCCAAAGTACTGGGATTACAGGCATGAGCCACTGCTCCCGGCTGATCTCTTTCTTTTTTATGGCTGCATAATATTCCATGGTGTCTATGTACAACATTTTCTTTATCCAATCTACCACTGATGGGCATTTAAGTTGATTCCGTGTCTTTGCTATTGTGAATAGTCTGCAGTGAACATATGCGTGCATGTGTCTCTATAATAAAATGATTTATATTCCTTTGGGTACCATTAATGGAACCCAACCAGTAATGGAATTGCTGGGTTGAATGGTATTTCTGTTTTTAGGTCTTCGAGGAATCGCCACACTGTCTTCCACAATGGCTGAACTAATTTATGCTCCCACTAACAGTGTATAGGCGTTCTTTTTCTCTGCAACGTTGCCAGCATCTGTTGTTTTTTGACTTGTTAATTATAGCCATTCTGACTGGTGTGAGATGGTGTCTCATTGTGGTTTTTATTTACATTTCTTTAATAAGCAGTGATGTTGAGCCTTTTTTCATATGCTCGTTGGCTGTATGTATGTCTTTAGAAAAGTGTTCATGTCCTTTGCCCACTTTTTAATGGGGTTGTTTGTTTTTTTCTTGTAGATTTCTTTAAGTTCCTTATAGATGCTGAATATTAGACCTTTGTCAGATGCATTAGTTTGTAAAAATTTTCTCCCATTCTGTAGGTTTGCTGTTTACTCTGTTGATAGTTTATTTTGCTGTGCAGAAGCTCTTTGATTAGATGCCATTAGTCAATTTTTGCTTTTGTTGCAATTGCTTTTAGCATCTTTGTTGTGAAATCTTTGCCCATCCCTATGTTCTGAATGGTATTGCCTAGGTTGTCTTCCAGGGTTTTTATAGTTTTGAGTTTTACATCTAAGTCTATAATCCATATTGAGTTGATTTTTGTATATGGTGTAAGGAAAGGGTCCAATTTCAGTCTTCTGCATATGGCTAGCCAGTTATCCCAGCACCATTTATTTAATAGGGAGTCCTTTCCTCATTGCTTGTTTTTGTCAGATTTGTTGAAGATCAGGTGGTTATAGGTGTGCAAACTTATTTCTGGGTTCTCTGTTCCGTTCTATTGATCTATGTACCGTGCTGTTTTGGTTATTGTAGCTCTGTAGTATAGTTTGAAGTTGGGTAGTGTGATGCCTCCAGCTTTGTTATTTTTGCTTAGGATTGCCTTGGCTATTCGGGCTCTTTTTTGGTTCCATATGAATTTTTAAACAGTTTTTTTCTAGTTCTGTGATTAATCTCAATGGTATTTTAATAAGAACAGCATTGACTCTATAAAATTACTTTGGTCAGTATGACCATTTTTATGATATTGATTCTTCCTATGCATGAACATGGAATGTTTTCCCATTTGTGTAATCTCTGATTTCTTTGAGCAGTGTTTTGTAGTTCTCCTTGTAGACATCCTCCACCTCCCTAGTTAGCTGTATTCCTAGGCATTTTATTCTTTTTGTGGCAGTTGTAAATGGGAGTTCATTCCATTTGATTTGGCTCTTGTCTTGATTGTTGTTGGTATATAGGAATGTTAGTGTTTTTTGCACATTCATTTTGTATCCTGAGACTTTGCTGAAGTTGTTTATCAGCTTAAGAATCTAGGTTGAGACTATGGGATTTTCTAGATATAAGATCATGTCATCTGCAAACAGGGATAGTTTGATTTCCTCTCTTTCTATTTGGATGGGCTTTATTTCTTTCTTTGGCCTGATTGCTCTGATCAAGACTTCCAATACTATGTTGAATAGGAGTGGTGAGAGAGGGCATTCTTGTCTTGTGCCAAGTTTTGAGGGGTTGAGTTTTGATGTTGGTTGTGAGTTTGTCATACATAGCTCTTACTATTTTGAGGTATGTTCCTTCAATACCTAGTTTATTGAGCGTTTTTAACATGAAGGGGTGTTGAATTTTGTTGAAAGCTTTTTTTGCATCTATTAAGATAATCATATGGTTTTTGCTTTAGTCCTGTTTATGTAATGAATCGCATTTATTGATTTATGTTGAACCTACCTTGCATCCCAGGGATAAAACCTATTTGATTGTGGTGGATAAGCTTTTTGATGTGCTGCTGGATTTGGTTTGCCAGAATTTTGTTGAGGATTTTTGCGTCAATGTTCATCAAATATATTGGCCTGAAGTTATCTTTTTTTGTTGCATCTCTGCCGGGTTTTGTTATCAGGATGATGCTGGCCTCATAGAATGAGTTAGGGAGGAGACTCTCCTCCTCAACTTTTTGGAATAGTTTCACCAGGAATGGTACCAGCTCTTCTTTGTACATCTGGTACAATTCAGCTGTGAATCCATCTGGTCCTGGCTTTTTTTGGTTGGTAGGCTATTTATTACTGACTCAATTTTAGAGCTTGTTATTGGTGTGTTCAGGGATTCCATTTATTCCTAGTTCAGTCTTGGGAGGGTGTATGTGTCCAGGAACTTATCCATTTTTTCTAGATTTTCTAGTTTATGTGTATAGAGGTTTTCATAATATTTTCTGATGGTTGGTTGTATTTTTGCGGGGTCAGTAGTAATATATCCCTTATTTCTGATTGTGTTTATTTGAATCTTTTCTCTTTTCTTCTTTATTAGTCTAGCTAGTGGTATATCTATTTTATTAATTTTTTCAAAAAACCAGCTCCTGGATTCATTGATGTTTTGAATAGTATTTTGTGTCTCAATCTCCTTCAGTTCAGCTTTGATTTTGGTTATTTCTTGTTTTCTGCTAGCTTTGGGATTTGTTTGCTCTTAATTCTCTAGTTCTTTTAGCTGTGATGTTAGGTTGTTTGACTGAGATCTTTCCAACTTTTTGATGTGAACATTTAATGCTATAAATTTCCCTCTTAACACTGCCCTAGCTGTGTCCCAGAGATTCTGGTATGTTGTATTTTTGTTCTCATCAGCTTCAAGGAATTTCTTGATTTCTGCCTTAATTTCACTGTTTACCCAAAAGTCATTCAGGGGCGGGTTATTCAATTTCCATGTAATTGTGTGGTTCTGAGTGAATTTTTTAGGCTTGATTTCTAACTGGGTCCGTTGTCGTCTGAGAGATTGTTTGTTATAATTCCAGTTGTTTTGCATTTGCTGAGGAGTATTTTACTTCCAATTATGTGATTGAATTTAGAGTGTGTGCCATGTGGCAATGAGAAGAATGTATATTCTATTGTTTTGGGGTGGAGAGTTCTGTAGATATCTGTCAGGTACATTTGATCCGGTGCTGAGTTCATGTCCTGAATATCTTTTTTAATTTTCTGTCTCAATTATCTGTAATACTGTCAGTATGGTGTTGAAGTCTCTCACTATTATTATGTGGGAGTCTAAGCCTCTTTGAAGGTCTCTGAGAACTTGCTTTATAAATCTTGGTGCTCTTGTGTTGGGTGCATATATATTTAGTGTAGTTAGGTCTGCTTGTTAAATTGAGCCCTTCACCATTGTGTAATGCTCTTCTTTGTCTTTTTTGATCTTCATTGGTTTAAAATCTGTTTTGTCAGAAACTATGATTGCAACCCTGCAATCATAGTTTTCCATTTGCTTGGTAGATTTTTCTCCATGCCTTTATTTTGAGCCTATTTGTGTTATTGCATGTGAGATGGGTCTCTTGAAGACAGCATACCAATGGGTCTTGGTTCTTTATCTAGCTTGCCATTCTGTTTTTTTTTTTTTTTTGTTTTGTTTTTTGAGACAGAGTCTTGCTCTGTCTCCCAGGCAGGCTGGAGTGCAGTAGCACAATCTCGGCTCACTGCAACCTCTGCCTCCTAGGTTCAAGTGATTCTCCTGCCTCAGCCTCCCAAGTAGCTGGAATTATAGGCACCCAACACCATGCCTGGCTAATTTTTCTATTTTTTAGTAGAGATGGGTTTTCATCATGTTGGCCAGGCTGGTCTTGAACTCCTGGCCTCAAGTGATTCACCTGCTTCAGCCTCTCAAAGTGCTGGGATTACAGACATGAGCCACCATGCCTGGTCTGTTTGATGACCTTGAGGTTTTGATTGTGGTATAAGGTGGATTCAGCCAACTGGCTTCATTTATGGAATATTTAAGGGGCCAGTGCCCAGCTGCCAACTCCTGGACTCTGCATGCTCTAGCTCTGGGGGACTTGTTTTGGGCCCTGACTTTGTTCTCTGGCTCCTTGAGGTTTGGAATCCACTGCACTGGGGGGCTGAGGTACTGCAGCTACAGCAGAGTGGCTGGCAGATGCAGAGTGCCTGCCTTCCTGTGGGGGTTCACCACAGTGGTGGAGGCAAAGCAGCTGGGGTGGGGATGGGGGGCTCCTGTTGGAGACTGTGTGCAGTTACTCTGGAGGTACTATAGGCATGGGTGGGGTGCTGGTTGGCACAGGTCTAGGTGCCTTTTCTGTGCCCTGCAAGCAGGAGTGATCGCTCAGGGTGGGGGAGGATCCACTGTTCTCTGCTCAGTGTTAGGTCAAAGGCAGGGTTCTGGCGGGTATGGGGCTTGCTGGCTCTGTGTCTGCCAAGGCTTCACCTGCAATGGAAGTCTGTAGGGAAAGGGGAGGCCCACTGGACTCCTGCATGCTGGTGGGGGAAGGAAATCAAAACCCACCTGTGCAGACATCAGCAGAGTGATGTGGGGAGTTGCCTGGGCCCAGGGGAAGCTACAATATGAGGAGGGAGCAGGCAGGCTGGTGTGTGGCCGTCGGGGCTGTCTCACTGGAGCTCTCCACTGGCCAGGCACAGTCTGCTGGCACAGAAGCTATGGTGAAGACCCCCAGGGCACCCAAGACTGCCCTGCAAGCAGGCATGGCCAGGCTGGGGCCCCAGGAGAGGCCAGCAGACGAAGGGGTGCTCAGGTTGGACTGGTCCCATCTGATGGGTAAGACCACCCTGCAGAGAACAGGTCTGACAGTTCCCCTAGGTCCAAAGTCTCCTGTGGGAGCAAATCAAGCCTGGGGGACGGCCGTCCCTGGCTGTGTTCCTGCACCAGACCCTCTGGGTTCTGCTTCAGCTGGCTGCTGCCCCCATCACTTCTCTAAGCAGCTCTCCCTGCCAACTAGAGTGTCCATGGTGGGCAAGGGGTCTCCCCCAGCTGGGGTTCCAGAGGCCCATGGCAACAGTGGGTTGCTCCTTGCCCGTTTAACTCCCCCATTTCCCCAGAGCTGTTGTGGGTCCAAAAATGAGCACCAGTGCTCAGTAGTCCCAGGCAGGTTCCCAGCTTTCTCCCCTTCAGCCCAGCTTCTGTGTGCTCCCTCCATCTGCCCTCAGCACCTTCCCTCTGAAGATGTGTTAGAAGCTCACCAGTCATCTCAGGCCCTCCGTGGGAGCTGTATCATCTGGCTGCATCTGGCCGGCCATCCCGCCCTTCCAATCCACATGAACTTCTTATTTCTGTCTTTGTCCTTATTACTCAGAACTCGGGCCTTGGCCTTGACTTTCATGGGGCCTCCTCCAGGGAAGGTGAGAGAGGGTTTTGGCCGCATCCTGGTCCTCCTGACCAGCTGTGGGAAGGACCAACGGTCCCATCTGCCCAGAGGAGGGAGGTTTGCACAGGCTGGATGCTGTGGAAGAGTCCTTCCTGTTCTTATTTTTGGAAAACAGAAAATTTGAGAAATGGCTCATCTTGTTCGGTGTTTGTGAGCCTATCTCTGTACCAGTGGAGGTATCTCAGCTTCTTGCCAGGGACCGTATCTGGTATCTTGCTACGCTGCACAGCCACTGGGTTCTGCACACCCTGCCTCTTGCTCTCCACCCCACCGCCTCGTGCTCTGCACACACCCCTGCCTCATGCTCTCCACCCCCATCTTGTGCTCTGCACACCTCCCCGCTTTGTGCTCTGCACAACCCCCGCCTCACGCTCTGTGCATCCTCCGCCTCACGCTCTGTGCATCCCCCGCCTCACGCTCTTTGCATCCCCCACCTCACACTCTGTGCATCCCCCGCCTCATGCTCTGCACTCCTGCCTCATGCTCTGTGCATCCCCCGCCTCATGCTCTGCACTCCTGCCTCATGCTCTGTGCACACTCCTGCCTCGTGCTGTGTGTTCTTGATCATGTTTGGATGAGACTTTGTGCAATTATTTTTGGCCTGGCCATGGTTTTTTTTTTTTTTTTTTTTTTTCTGGGGGTTATCTTTGTAGGAATTTGACATCAGAGTTGTGACAAATTTTGAAACCTAATTGAGCATCTTTTAACCTGTTCTACGGTTCCAGCCTCATTTGTATGATGTCGGGATTATGACTTGTTTGGGAACTTGGCACACTCACCCACAGACCATCCAGGCCTGCAGCCCTCTGGGGAATAATCATTTCATAACTTTTAGATTTTCCTTCTTTGTGTATTGGTTCATTTAGGTTTTCTACTTCTTATTGAGTCACTTGAAAGTAATTTTCCAGGCTATCTCCTTTTATTGAAATTTTAATTAATACATAATTGTACATAATATTCTTTTATAATTTGAAAAGTGTCTGGGGTGGGGGGTCTGTGAAGCCTGAGGACTCCAGGCCTCCCACGTGGCAGGAGGCCGGGCACACGCTGATGACTTTGCTTCTTTCGAACTTTTTTTCCTTGGAAAACATTTCAGAGGGAAGATTAGTTGGTTCCTTTGTAGGCACATTTTTTTTTTTTTTTTTGAGATGGATTCTTGCTCTGTCGCCCAGGCTGGATTGCAGTGGCACGATCTTGGCTCACTGCAAGCTCCAGTAGGCACATTTTAAGGTATAATTTTTTGATATGGCTCCGAACACTTTCTCTAATATGTATTTGCTTTATTGCTAGGAGAATACACATGACATGGAGGTAGAATAGAATTTCATAAGCCATAAAGGCATAGATAAGCTAAATTTGGCCAGGGATTGGGGAAATGCCACATGACCTCATCAGCCTGGTTGGGGAATATTCAGTCCTCATGAGGGTGTGGGGCCAGGAGGTGTTGGTGGGCATGGACCCTCCCCCTTGGTGTGGAAAGCAAAGAAAGTGAACACACCTGAGCCCAGCGTCAGACCACAGAGGATGTTCACAGAGCAGGAGGCTCCTCCCCATCCACAAAGGATGTTCACAGAGCAGGAGGCTCCTCCCCATCCACAGAGGATGTTTACAGAGCAGGGAAGCTCCTCCCCATCCACAGAGGATGTTCACAGAGCAGGAGGCTCCTCCCCATCCACAGAGGATGTTCACAGAGCAGGGAGGCTCCTCCCCATCCACAGAGGATGCTCACAGAGCAGGGAGGCTCCTCCCCATCCACAGAGGATGTTCAGAGAGCAGAGGGCTCCTCCCCATCCACAGAGGATGTTCACAGAGCAGGAGGCTCCTCCTGGACCACAGAGGATGCTCACAGAGCAGGAGGCTCCTCCCCATCCACAGAGGATGTTCACAGAGCAGGGAGGCTCCTCCCCATCCACAGAGGATGTTCACAGAGCAGGGAAGCTCCTCCCCATCCACAGAGGATGTTCACAGAGCAGGAGGCTCCTCCTGGACCACAGAGGATGCTCACAGAGCAGGAGGCTCCTCCACATCCACAGAGGATGTTCACAGAGCAGGAGGCTCCTCCTGGACCACAGAGGATGCTCACAGAGCAGGAGGCTCCTCCCCATCCACAGAGGATGCTCACAGAGCAGGGAGGCTCCTCCCCATCCACAGAGGATGTTCACAGAGCAGGAGGCTCCTCCTGGACCACAGAGGATGCTCACAGAGCAGGAGGCTCCTCCCCATCCACAGAGGATGCTCACAGAGCAGGGAGGCTCCTCCCCATCCACAGAGGATGCTCACAGAGCAGGAGGCTCCTCCCCATCCACAGAGGATGCTCACAGAGCAGGGGGCTCCTCCCCATCCACAGAGGATGTTCACAGAGCAGGGGGCTCCTCCCCATCCACAGAGGATGCTCACAGAGCAGGAGGCTCCTCCCCATCCACAGAGGATGCTCACAGAGCAGGGGCTCCTCCCCATCCACAGAGGATGCTCACAAAGCAGGAGGCTCCTCCCCATCCACAGAGGATGCTCACAGAGCAGAGGCTCCTCCCCATCCACAGAGGATGCTCACAGAGCAGGGGCTCCTCCCCATCCACAGAGGATGCTCACAGAGCAGGGGGCTCCTCCCCATCCACAGAGGATGTTCACAGAGCAGGGGGCTCCTCCCCATCCACAGAGGATGCTCACAGAGCAGGGGCTCCTCCCCATCCACAGAGGATGCTCACAGAGCAGGGGGCTCCTCCCCATCCACAGAGGATGCTCACAGAGCAGGGGCTCCTCCCCATCCACAGAGGATGCTCACAGAGCAGGGGGCTCCTCCCCATCCACAGAGGATGTTCACAGAGCAGGGGGCTCCTCCCCATCCACAGAGGATGCTCACAGAGCAGGGGCTCCTCCCCATCCACAGAGGATGCTCACAGAGCAGGGGGCTCCTCCCCATCCACAGAGGATGCTCACAGAGCAGGGGCTCCTCCCCATCCACAGAGGATGCTCACAGAGCAGGGGGCTCCTCCCCATCCACAGAGGATGTACACAGAGCAGGAGGCTCCTCCCCATCCACAGAGGATGCTCACAGAGCAGGGGGCTCCTCCCCATCCACAGAGGATGCTCACAGAGCAGGAGGCTCCTCCCCATCCACAGAGGATGCTCACAGAGCAGGGGCTCCTCCCCATCCACAGAGGATGCTCACAGAGCAGGGGCTCCTCCCCATCCACAGAGGATGCTCACAGAGCAGGGGGCTCCTCCCCATCCACAGAGGATGCTCACAGAGCAGGAGGCTCCTCCCCATCCACAGAGGATGTTCACAGAGCAGGGGGCTCCTCCTCATCCACAGAGGATGCTCACAGAGCAGAAGGCTCCTCCCGGGAGGCCAATTACAGCTGTGTGTTTGCACGGAAACATGGAAACAGGCCCTGTCCATCAATAGGGCAAGGGTTAAAAATTCAGTGTGTGTGTCTGTATGTGTGCTCATGTGTACAGAGTTGCCAGGAAACAGTTAAATGAACCAGGTAGCTACCAGATGGCTCAGGGTGGATAAATCTCAAAGAGATAATGCAGCAGCAAAAAGTTCAGTTGCAGAATAAAATGTGTAGGGTGCTACCATTTATGTACAACTTAAGCATATAAAAGTCATTCTCCAGTGTGTGTGGGCACACAGGCAGGCAGGAGGCACACGGAGGCCTGCCCGCTTGCTGTGCCCATAGACGCAGTGCTCCCACGGGCAGGATGGGCACCTGTGGCCACTTCACCACATCCAGCTCCTCCTTTTACACTTGAGGCCTGAGGGGAAGGAGGATGCTCTGAAGCCAGGGAAACCCCGGCAGGTGTTGAAGCTTGGGGTGGGGTGCATAGGGGTTGTTAACATGTTCTTTATACTTCCCAGGAATGTTTTAGGAGCATCAGCCTGATTTCTCATCCCTTTCCTCCCCGCCTCAGTTCCAGATTTCGGAAGGTTCACGAGTGTTGCCGACACGCCCTCCCAACTGCAGACATCCTCCCTGGAGGACCTGCTGTGCTCACATGCCCCCCTGTCCAGCGAGGACGACACCTCCCCGGGCTGTGCAGCCCCCTCCCAGGCACCCTTCAAGGCCTTCCTCAGTCCCCCAGAGCCACATAGCCACCGAGGCACCGACAGGAAGCTGTCCCCGCTCCTGAGCCCCTTGCAAGACTCACTGGTGGACAAGACCCTGCTGGAGCCCAGGGAGATGGTCCGGCCTAAGAAGGTGTGTTTCTCGGAGAGCAGCCTGCCCACCGGGGACAGGACCAGGAGGAGCTACTACCTCAATGGTATGGCCGGGTGCGGGGGCACCTGGGGGGGCCCCCAGTGCAGGCTGGCAGCTGTGGGGAGGGCATGACTGGGTGGTCAGGCAGGGCCGTTTCTCCATCCAGTCACACAGAGTGGAGGGAGGAGAGCCAGGCTGGGAGGCTGGGGTCCAAGGCTGTGTCTGTCCTAGTCTTTTGTCCATCTTTAAAGATAAAATGGGTTGCTTATCTTCTTCTTGGGAAGTTGTGAGAGTTCTTTATGTGTCTGGATATGAGTCCTTTTTTGGGTGTATGTTTTGCAGATACGGTCTCCCACTCCATGGTTTTTCATTTTCATAATAATGTTTTTTGATGAGCAAAACTGTTTAATTTGATGATGTCCAATTTATTGATTTTTCTTTTGTATTTTATGCTTTTTATGTTCAGTTTAAGAAATCTTTGCCAAGCCCAAGGTCACACAGATTCTCTCCTGTGTGTTGTTCTAGAAGTTTTATAGTTTAGGTTTTACATGTAGGTCTCTGATCAATTCCAAGTTAATTTTCATATATGGTGTGAGGTTTGCATGTAGATATCCACCTGAGGCTCAGGCCAGCCTCCCACCTCAGCCTCCCAGGTATCTGGGACTACAGGTGTATGCCACCAGGCCTGGCTAATTTTTTGGTTTTTGTGTTTTTGTTATTGTAGAGATGGGATTTTGCTACGATGCCCAGGCTGGTCTTGACCTCCCGGGCTGAAGCAATTCGCCTGCCTCGGCCTCCCAAAATGCTGGGATTACAGGCATGAGCCACCATGCCTGGCCTGTCAATTTTATTTATCTTTTCAAATAACCGATTTTTTGTTACATTGATCTGTTGTATTGTTTTCTTCATTTAAATTTCATTTATTTCTTCTCTGATCTTAATTATTTTTCTTCTAATTTTGGATTTGGTTTGCTCTTGCATTTCTAGCTCTGTAAGATGAATCATTAGCTTATTTGAAGTTTTTCTACTTTTTTGATATAGGCACTCATAACTATAAACTCTTAGCACTTACAGCTATAGCTCTTAGTATGGCTTTTGCTGAATCTAGTACATAGTAGGTTTTGGTGTGTTGTGTTTCCATTATCATTTGTTTCAAGACATTTTTAAAATTTCCTTCTTAATTTCTTCACTGATGCACTGGCCATCCAGGAGCGTATTGTTTAATTTCTATGTGTTGGTATAATTTCCAAAATTCCTTTTGTTATTGATTTCATTTTATTCCATTATGGTCGGAGAAGATACTTGATATAATTTCAATTTTTTTGATTTTTAAAGACTTGTTTTGCAGCCTAGCATATGGTCTATCCTTGAGAATGATCCATGTGCTAATGAGAAGCAGGTGTATTCTGCACCTGTTGGATGAAATGTTCTGTAAATATCTATCATGTTCATTTGGTCTATAGTATAGATTAAGTCTGATATTTCTTTGATTTTCTGTCTTAAAGATCTGTCCAAGGGTGAAAATGCGTATTGAAGTCTCCAGTTACTATTGTACTGGGGTCTGTCTCTCGATTTAGCTCTAGTAATATTTGCTTTACATATCTGGGTGCTCCAGTGTTGGGTGCATATATATTTATAACTGTTATATCCTCTTGCTGAATTGACCCCTTTATCATTATATAATGACCTTCTTTGTCTCTTGTTATAGTTTTTGTCTTGAAATCCACTTTGATATAACTATGGCTGCTACTGCTCTTTTTTGGTTCTCATTTGCATGGAATATCCTTTTCTATCCCTTTATTTTCAGTCTGTGTGAGTCTTTATAGGCGACGTGTGTTTCTTGTAGGCAGCAGATGGTTGGGTCTTGTTTTTTTTTTATCCATTCAGCCACTCCGTCTTTTGATTGGAGAGTTTAGTCTATTTACATTCAAAGTTTCTTGGTTGTTTTTGACCAAACTCACATACTATCATTCATCGATTTGACTGTGCTGTAATTTTTTTTTTTGGAGACAGGGTCTCACTTTGATGCCCAGGCTGGAGTGCAGTGGTGCAATCTTGGCTCACTGCAACCTCCGCCTCCTGGGTTCAAGTGATTCTCATGCCTCAGCCACCCGAGTAGCTGGGATTATAGGTGCGTGCCACCACGCCCAGCTAATCTTTGTATTTTTAGTAGAGATGGGGTTTTGCCACATTGACCAGGCTGGTCTCAAACTCCTGACCTCAAGTGATCCGCCCACCTCAGCCTCCCAAAGTACTGGGATTACAGGCATGAGCTACTGCACCTGCCTATTTACATTCAAAGTTATTATTGATAAAGATTTACTCCTGCCATTTTGTTATTTGTTTTCTCATTGTTTTGTGGTCTTCCCTCCTCTTTATCTAGAAGAGTTTGTGTTGAATTGGTGTTATTTATTCCTTAAGTGGTAGAATTCACCGCTGAAACTACCCGAGCCTTGAATGGTCTCTGTGGGAACATTTTCCCCCTACAAATTCCATTTTATTGATAATGTCAACTGAAATTAAGGCTGTTGAGACAAATAATTCGATAAAGGTTTATTGGAAGCCAAATGTGAGGATCAACCCAGAGGAACACACCAACAAAGTTGAGAGTGTTCTGGAATCTAAGTCAGAAGGTTTCTATAGGAGAGGCTAGGAGGAGGGAAAGGACTCCTCATACTCATGTCTAAGTCAGAAGGCTTCTATAGGAGAGGCTAGGAGGAGGGAAAGGACTCCTCATACTCATGTTGTCCTTTTCTAGTCAGAAGGTTTCTATAGGAGAGGCTAAGAGGAGGGAAAGGACTCATACTCATATCTAAGTCAGAAGGCTTCTACAGGAGAGGCTAGGAGGAGAGAAAGGACTCCTCATACTCATGTTGTCCTTTTCTTTGGAGGGTACAACACAGAGGTTACAAGCATTGGCTACAGATGACAACATACAGGTCAACACATCTCTGTGCAAGACAGTCAGTAAACCTTTATGATTCAGGAATAAATCAGCATCTTTTCAGTCCATTAATCAGCACATCAGCAATCTGAGGAAATCATGATAAGATTCTTTACTCAGGGACCATTAATCATAAGACCTTCCCAAGCAGGCCAGTTTGGAAGTCTGTTTACTTTTAAACTGTCAAATGTGACCTGTAAGGTTATCAGATATAAGGCTATTCAGAGTATCTATTTCTTCTTGAGTGAACTTTGGTAGTTTGTGTCTTTTAAGGAATTGGTCAATTTCATCTAGGTTGTCAAATTTATTGGCATAAAGTCATTCCTAATACTTCCTTATTATCCTTTTTATGTCTGTAGAATCTGTGGTAGTGGCATCTCTAATTTCTGCTAGTGGTAATTTTTGTCTTCTTTCTTTTTTCCCCTAAGTCTGGCTAGAGGTTTATCAATGTATGGCCTTTTTCCTTTGAAGAACAGGTTTTTGGCTGGATCTTACAGAGCCCAGGTTGGACTAGAAATCATTTCTAGAACCTATACTAGAATCATTTCTCTTCTATAGGATGTTTCTTCTACCTCATTTTTGCCTTGGTGGGGGGATGGGAGAAAGAGCTTGATTCTTTTTTTTTTTTTTTTTCTTGAGATGGAGTCTCGCTCTGTCGCCCAGGCTGGAGTGCAGTGGTGCGATCTCGGCTCACTGCAACATCCACCTCCCGGGTTCAAGCCATTCTCCTGCCTCAGCCTCCTCAGTAGCTGGGATTACAGGCACCCGCCACCATGCCTGGCTAATTTTTGTATTTTTAGTAGAGATGGGGTTTCACCATGTTTGCCAAGCTGGTCTCGAACTCCTGACCTTGTGATCCACCCACCTCGGCTTCCCAAAGTGCTGGGATTACAGGCATGAGCCACCGCACCTGGCCAAGAGCTTGATTCTTGATGAGAGAAATACATTGATACAGAAGGAGGAGATTACACCTGCTCTTCCACACCCCTCATTGGCCCTAACACACTTCTGTGCAGTGTGTTGACATACCTCTTCTGCAGTCTTGAAAAGTGATTGGGAAAGAAATACACTGAAAACTACAAACATCACTGAAAGGAATGAAAGAAGACATAAATGACCAGGCACAGTGGCTCACACCTGTAATCCCAACATTTTGGAAGGCTGAGATGGGCAGATCTCTTGAGCCCAGGAGTTCAAGACCAGCCTCAGCAACAGGGCGAAACCCCATCTCTACCAACCCCCCACCACCCAAGTTAGCTGGTCGTGGTGGTGCATGCCTGTAGTTCCAGCTATTCAGGAGGCTGAGGTGGGAGGATCACTCAAGCCCAGAAGGTAGAGGTTGCAGTGAGCTGAGATCGTGCCACTGCACTCCAGCTTGGGTGACAGAGCGAGACCCTTTCTTCAAAAAAACAAACAAACAAACAATAAATAAATAAACAGAAAAACACCTTGTGTTCACAGATTAGAAGACTTTATATTGTTCAAAAATCAATAATTTTGATATGGATTACATTGGATCTGCAGATTCATGCAATCCCAATCAGAATCCTAGTGGCTTCTTTACAGAAATTGACAAGCAGAAACTGAAATTCATATAGAAGTGTAAGGAACCAGAATAAGTAAAACGATCTTGAAAAAGGAGAACATTGAGGGACTCATACTTCCCAGTTTCAAAATTGACTATAAAACTTACAGTTAACAAGACTGTGGTACTGCCATAACGATGGACATACAGATCAATGCAATGGAATGGGAAGGTCAGAAATAAAACTGTACATAGATGGTTTTCAACAAGAGTGCCAAGACAATTCAGGAGGGACTGAATACTGTCTAACGCGTGGTGCTGGAACAAAGAGGTATCCACATGCCAAGGAATGAGGCTGGGCCTTACTCCACACCACATACACAAATTAACTCAAAATGGATCAAAGACCTAAGAGGTCTCAAAGAGCTGAGGCCAGAAAACTTGTAGAAAAGACATAGGGGTAAATCTTCGTGACCTTGGATTTGGCAATGGATTCTTAGAGATCACATCAAAAGCATGAGCAAAAGAGAGAAACAGACAAATTGGACTTCATCAAAAGTAAAACAAAACAAAAAAACAAACTTTTGTGCTTCAAAGGACAGTATCAAAAAAATGAAAAGCCAACCCGGAGAATGGGAGAAAACATTTGTAAATTGTGCGTTTGAAATGGGACTAGTATGCAGAATATTTAAGAACTCTGACAATTCAACAGTAAGAAGACAAACAATCCAATGAAAAATCACTACAGGACCTGAATAGATATTTCTCCAAAGAAGATACAGTATATAAATGGCCAATAAGCACGTGAAAAGATGCTCGAATCACTAGTCGTTAGTGAAATGCAAATGAGATACTGTTTCCCGTCCTCCAGGAAAAAGATGGACAAGGTCATGTGCTGTTACGGACTCGGATGCCATCAGAGGCTGTCCTGGGGAGGGGGGTTCGGAAGCAGGTTTTGTGGGAGCATTGCAGTCTCCTAAGTAATGTTGAGGAAGTAATTAAAGTAGAATGTCCTGGGCCAGGTGCGGTGGCTCACGCCTGTAATCCCAGCACTATGGGAGGCTGAGGTGGGCGGATCACCTGAGGTCAGCAGTTCGAGACCAGCCTGGCCAACAGGGTGAAACCCCAGCTCTACTAAAAATACAAAAACTTGGCTGGGTGTGGTGGCACGCGGCTGTAGTCCCACTACTCTGGAGGCTGAGGCAGGAGAATCGCTTGAGCCGGGGAGGCGGAGGTTGCGGTGAGTGGAGATGGCGCCACTGCACTCCAGCCTGGATGACAGAGTGAGACTCTGTCTAAGAAAAAAAAAAAAGTCCTGCCAACCCAGCGGTCCTTTTCTCAGAGGTAGGAAAGAATGAAGCAGTTTTATTGAATAAACATTAAAGCAGCCTTTGATGCCCAGAGGTTGCCAAGACAGAAGAACTCTCCCCCTTCCTCCCAGCCAAGCCGACCGGCCCTGTTCCACGGGCGTCCTCACTGGAGGGGACCCGTCCCAACTCAGACCTCCAGGGCCGGGTTCCTCTGTCCTCGCAGGGGCCGACGCTGGGGCAGACTCCCGCGTGACAGGGGACCAGTCCCCACCCCCGAGATTAAAAGGTTTACCTCATCGCAAAGGGACAGAAGGGAGCCGAGGACAGGGGGAAGGGAAGGCTGGCTTGCCCTTTGGCACTTTAAGAAGCTCCTTTTCTTTCAGATTCTATTTGCCAGACAGTGGGGGGTGGCGGCAGGTGGGAGGAGGGGGGTGGAGGAGCCGCCCCCCACGTGGCCGAGGGCACCCTCGAGGGCAGTGGATCCTCGCGCTCCCCTGACCTTGTCCCCGGCCTTCCCTCCCCCAGAGATCCAGAGCTTCGCGGGCGCCGAGAAGGACGCGCGCGTGGTGGGCGAGATCGCCTTCCAGCTGGACCGCCGCATCCTGGCCTACGTGTTCCCGGGCGTGACGCGGCTCTACGGCTTCACGGTGGCCAACATCCCCGAGAAGATCGAGCAGGTGCGCCCCGTGGGGAGGGCGCGGCCAGGAGGGTGCGGGGCGCTCGGTCCGTCCCTGTGCGGCCCCCAGATCTTGGCTCCTGGCCGGGCACTGTCCGCAGGAGGGGACCCCGGGGACCCAGGCGGGCGGGGCAGGGATCGGCCCTGGGCCTGGAAGTCCCCGTCCGAGGGCCCCGAGCCCCCCACCCCCATCCATGCGCTGCGCCCGCAGACCTCCACCAAGTCTCTGGACGGCTCCGTGGACGAGAGGAAGCTGCGCGAGCTGACGCAGCGCTACCTGGCCCTGAGCGCGCGCCTGGAGAAGCTGGGCTACAGCCGCGACGTGCACCCGGCGTTCAGCGAGTTCCTCATCAACACCTACGGAATCCTGAAGCAGCGGCCCGACCTGCGCGCCAACCCCCTGCACAGCAGCCCGGCCGCGCTGCGCAAGCTGGTCATCGACGTGGTGCCCCCCAAGTTCCTGGGCGACTCGCTGCTGCTGCTCAACTGCCTGTGCGAGCTCTCCAAGGAGGACGGCAAGCCCCTCTTCGCCTGGTGAGCCGCCCCGCGCCCGCCGCCTTGCCTGCAGTAAACGCGTTTGTTCCAACCCGGGGCCGCGGTGCCTCCTGCGCGTCCCCCCGGAGGGGAAAGGGCCGCGTCCCCCGCGCGCGAGGCCAGAGAAGGCCCCGCTCCCACCGGTGCTGGGCCCCGACCGCAGCCCGCCGCTGCCCGCACCTGCGGAGTGCTTCTCACCCCTCATTAAAATCATCCGTTTGCATGTCTGCCTTTACCTCTGGCTCTTTGAGGGCGTGGAGGGCGCCTCGGCCGCTGCTCCGCCTGCAGGAAGCGCCGCTCGGTGCTCAAGGAGGGAAGCCAGGAAGGAGCCGCAGCCGGCAGGGGCCCCCTCTTCCCCCTCCCCCCTTCCCCTCCCCCGGGCCTCCACGCCCACCCGCTTTCCCGCCCGGGACGGCGAGTCCTGTCCCAGTTTGGGTTTCCCCGAATGCCGAGCTGGGGCAAGGACTTGGTTCTGGCGGATGGTTGCGCACCCCTGCCGGCAAAATGGAAACGCAGCCCCTTGTTCAAAAGCGAAGAATTCGAAAGGGCAACAGCCGCGTTACAGTGAACCCGGACCTTAGGGCTGAGCAGTGGCAACGCAGGCGGGAGAGCGCCGGGGAGCCCCGAGACCGTGGGGGTGCTGGGGGTGGGCGAGCACAGGGGAGCCCCGGAGACCATGGGGGTGCCGGGGGTGGGCGAGCGCCGGGGAGCCCCAGAGACCGTGGGAGTGTTGGGGGTGGGCGAGGACAGGGGAGCCCCGAGACCGTGGGGGTGCCGGGGGTGGGCGAGCGCCGGGGAGCCCCGGAGACCATGGGGGTGCTGGGGGTGGACGAGCACAGGGGAGCCCCGGAGACCATGTCAGGTGCACCTTGCACCATCCCGGAGCGGGGAGCTGGGGAGCTGACCCATCAATTCCCCTCCCCCTGGGTCATCTCCCTGCCGGAGGCCGGAACAGCGAGAAGACGGGCCCTCAGTGAATTGGCGGGACCTTGGGGCTGAGGAGATACCCAGTTCCAAAGTGCCCTGGAACGAGGGGCATTTACCGTGTCTCAGGGGAGTCTTGGCTCATGCTGCACAAGCCAGCACGCTCAGCCTGGTCCTCACACTGTCTCAGCAATAGTGGCGAGGATGGCAGGGCTGTCACACATTAACAGTTCAGAGCTCGATGGAGACTGCTGGGGACCCCACTCTGGCTGGTAGCTACAACATTCAGCTCCCAGGTGCAGATGGGCTGGATCCTGGGGTGCGGGCCCAACCTCATGCCCGGCAGACGAGGGGCCCACTGGCCTGAGAAGCTCTGGCTGGGTGCTGATTTCTGGCCTTACCTTTGAGGGTGGCCTGTGGCCACACCGGCAGTGGGCTGGCTCTGTGGCTGGGTGCTGATTTCTGGCCTTACCTTTGAGGGTCGCCTGTGGCCACGCCGGCACTGGGCTGGCTCTGTGGCTGGGCCAGGAGCTTTGGGCCCCAGGCCTAGGGCTGCAGCCACACAGTCTCGGCCAGGTGGTCCATGCCCCCTTCCCCTCGGTGCCAGCGAGTGGATACTTTCAGCAAGCCTGGGATAGGAAGGGCTGTGATGAAACGCACCAGGATTTATTTCAGTTGGGTGTGGTGGGATACAGACACAGGACTCCTGACTTTAAAGGAGAGTGTGTCACAAAGTACTGCAGACCCAGCTACTTAAACCACAGGAGGGCACGTACCGTGCCACACAGGGCCGCCCGGGGCGGGGCGCCGTGGCAACAGGACGCAGAAGGCGAGAGGGGAGAGCATGGCCAGAGGCTCTGTGGGGGTTTCCCTGGGAAGAGAGGCCAGGGAGGGTAGGCACGAAGGAGCAAGTTTAGGATTGGACAGGTTAATTTCCCTGGGCTCCGGGCTATGGGGTGGTGTCTAGTTGACCACCGTCCTGCCCCAGGGTGATTGAGGGCAGAGGAACATGGGTTTGGTGAGTGAGTCAGATAAGGGGTGGTTGGGTTTACAGGCTCCAGGTGGGTTGGCTTGTGCCTTAAAGGGGAGCTCTGTTTGCAGGCACCTTTTGCTGTCTCTAGGAATTAGCCAGTCCTGGGAGGGCAGTCTCCACCTAGCCAGTAAGGCCCCCGAGAGGTCAAAGCATTGTAAACCAGAAAACAAAAACCATATGAGTTATACAGGAACAGTCTGGTGGGCAGGTGGCATTCAGCCCCTGTGCTCTGGGTCTCTAGAAGAATGGGGTTCTCAGCCTCTGGCCATGGGTCCCCCAAACAGCCTTAGTGTCTTCCAGGCTCTTGGGCTTGGCTTGGAGTGGCCCCTGGGGGCTTTGGCTGGGGCGGTGCCCATGGCTCACCCTCTGTCCATATAGTGGGGCCCAAGTTGTCCACTGTGCTGGGCTAGCCTGGGGGGGCCCTGTGGTCAGAAGCTAGACCCCCACCCTGGCAGTGCCACCCCCTAGGCCCCTAAGCTGCAGGTGCACGTGGAACTTTCTGGAGGGCTCCCGTGCAGAGAGGGTGAAGCCCATTCCTGCACTTTTTCTTACTGTACTATTAAAATGAGGAGAAATGGGAACAGGGTGAGGAGGGTGGCCCTGAAGTGGCTGGCGTGGCCATGTCTCCTGGGGCAGCACCCGGGCCCTGGGCACCAGCTCTTCCATCTGTAGACGGGAGGGCAGTGAGCTTCTAGGGGATGATTTCCACCTCCTGGGACGGAGGTGGGCACCGGCCCAAGTGAACTCGGATTCTCCTGCACACAGCTTCCGTATTCAGTCATTTACTTATGGGCCCACTATGTTTGTCTCATACTCTGGGTTAGAAAAGTGTATGGCCTGCCTGGCCCTGGAATCAGTAGCCCTGGGCCTGTCACTGGGGAGAGATGGTGGAAACCCTGGTGTGGGCATAGCTGAGATTCTTTCTCCTGTAAGTGGGGTCCCTTAGGGTCCCCGATTCAGGAGCTATTTACAGCACCTGCCAGCATTTCTAATGTCTCAGTGCTGCCCCTGAGAACCAGCGCCGGCGTCACAACCAGCCCCATTCCCCCTCGTGTTCTCAGCTGTAGCCAAGCCCTGGTCCAGCAGTAGCTGGGTAGGAAATGCATGCAGCTCCTGCCGGGGCCTCCCGCCCCAACCCTCTCTCCTGACAGGCGATTTGCTGGGCTGGAGGACAGGGCCAGGTCTTGGCCTTGGCACCGTCCTGGGTCACGAGTGTATGGTTCTGGTCACTCTGCTGTGGTGCGAGGATGAAGGTGCCAGCCCAGTGTGGGCAACCCTCACAGCCAGAATGTTCCAGTGCCCCGCACCTCGGGACCCTGGATGTGTGCGGCTGCCGTCACAAAGTACCGCAGACCCAGCAGCTTAAACCACAGAAATTTATTCTATCACAGTCCTGAAGGCCCAGAGTACAAGATCAAAGTGTCTGCAGATTCTGTTTGTCTGAGGTCTCTCTGCTTGGCTTGCAGGCGGCCGCCTCCCTGCTTTGTCCTCCTGGCCTTTTCTCTGAGTGCATCCCTGGTGTCTCTCCCTCTTCTCACCGCCCTGTCCATCTCCACATCCAATCCAGTCGGCGGTGCTGGGGGTAATCCAGTCTGCCATGCTGGAGGTCAGGCCTTCAGCAGATGGTTTCTCGAGGGAATGCAGTGCGGCCCTCAACAGACCCCATCCTCCCCTCCTGGCCTCCAGACATGGATCCCTGACTCCATCCTCCCCTTGAGGCTCCACAGAGCTCTGACCCCATCCTCCCCTCCTGGTCTCCCTCCAGACACAGATCCCTGACCCCATCCCCCACTCCCAGCCTCCAGACGTGGAGCCCTGGCTGGGGAACTCTGTGTGCTCCCAGCCTCTGAAGGTTTCTGGGCTTACCTGGCTCCTGTCTCATCCCAGTCCCCCTGAGTAGCCACGGAGGTGGGGTCCCTAAGGCCCACATGGTTGGGGTTCCATTAAGAACTTCAAGTGGGTGGCTCACGCCTGTAATCCCAGCACTTTGGGAGACCGAGGTGGGTGGATCATGAGGTCAAGAGATCGAGACCATCCTGGCCAACATGGTGAAACCCCATCTCTACTAAAAATACAAAAAATTAGCTGGGTGTGGTAGCGGGTGCCTGTAGTCCCAGCTACTCTGGAGGCTGAGGCAGGAGAATGGCGTGAACCCGGGAGGCAGAGCTTGCAGTGAGCCAAGATCGCACCACTGCACTCCAGCCTGGGCGACAGAGCGAGACCCTGTCTCAAAAAAAAAAAAAAAAAAAAAAAAGAACTTCAAGTGGGGCTGGGCTCAGTGGCTCACACTTGTAATTCCAGCACTTTGGGAGGCCGAGGCAGGAGGATCGCTTGAGCCCAGGAGTTTGAGACCAGCCTGGGCAACGTGGTGAGACCTCATGTGTATTTGTCTGATAAAGACATACGCAAGACTGGGTAATTTTTAAAGAAAAAGCAGTTTAATGGACTCAACAGTTCCACAATCATGGTGGAAGGTGAAAGAGGAGCAAAGTCACGTCTTACAAGAGGGTGTGTGCAGGGGAACTGCCCTTTATAAAACCATCGGATCTCGTGAGACCATTCACTATCACAAAAACAGCACCGGAAAAAGCCGCCCCCGTGATTCAGTGACCTCCCACCGGGTCCCTCCCATGACGTGGGAACTATGGGCTCTACAATTCAAGATGAGATTTAGGTGGGGACACAGCCAAACCATATCACCATGTCTACCAAAAATGGAAAAGTTAGCCAGTGTAGTGGTGTGTGCCTGTGGCCCAGATGCTCAGGAGGCTAAGGTGAAAGGACCTCTTGAGCCTGGGGACCAAGGCTGCAGGAAGCCATGATTGTGCCGCTGCACTCCAGCCTGGCTGACAGAGTGAGACTTTGTCTCAAAAAAAAAAAAAAGAGAAAATGATAAAAGCACTGCAAGTGGGCAGCGGCTGAACGTGGAGACAGGAGTTCTCCCTTCTGAGCACGGCCCTGGTGCCGCTGACTTCGTGGGGAGCCTGTAGTCAGGGGAGCAGCAGCTGGGGAGAGCTGGGGTCTCAGCTGCCTTCCCCCATATCGCACATGCCCGTCTCGTGTGTATCTGCACTCTCACACGCGTGTTCCCCTGCCCTGCGCTCACATGTATCTGCACTCACTCTCACATGCTTGCTTCCCCTGCCCCATGCTCACGTGTACCTGCACTCTCACACGTGTGCTCCCCTACCCCACACTCACATGTATCCTCGCTCACTCTCACACGTGTTCCCCTGTCCTGTGCTCACATGTATCCACGCTCTCACACATGTGCTCCCCTGCCTTGTGCTCACGTGTATCTGCACTCTCACGTGTTCCCCTGCCCTGCCCTCACGTGTATCCTCACTCACTCTCACACGCGTGCTCCCCTGCACTCTCCTGTCTGAGCTGAGCTGACCTCAGTTGGGTGCTGCGAGCCAGGGCCTCATGCTGGCCTCTCGCCCTCCACAGCCCCAGGGGTCCAGGCTCCTCCAGGAACAAACGCAGGCCCCACGGGCTGCCTGGAAGGCCTCCCAGAAGGCAGCACAGGGTCACGAGGGTCACCCGCAGTGGCACAGGGAGGCCTCGTCACGACAGGATTCCAGCCAGGCTGGCCTGATGCTCCTGGGGGTCCTCGGCACATGCCCCTTCACCCTGGCATGTGCTTCTTTTCCGGGAACCCACACTCTGGCTGAGTGGAGCCATCCCCTCTGGGTCAACAGCACCCGGGGTGGCTCTGCAGCACCCCACTCCGCGGCTGCACAGGGACCTTGGCCCCACTGCTCCTTGTGCCTTGCTGGTTAATGAGAAGCCGGTGGGGAGGTGCTGCCGGTGAGCGTATAAAGGCCCTGGCGGCGGCTGCGGAGCACTGGCCCTGTCCTTCCATCTGCCCAGAGAGGAGCATCTGGATCAAGGTGCTGGCCATGTCCCAGCTGGTGGAATGCGTCCCCAACTTTTCGGAGGGGAAGAACCAGGAGGTGAGGCCCGAGGAGCTGGTCAAGCATCTAGGGCTGATGGGGCAGCTTGAGTGGCTAAGGCCCAGGCCATGGAGGAGGTGGTGGGCTTGGTGTCCCGGGTCGTCTTCCCAGGATGGGCAGAGCCGCTGCCCGTGGGCCCCAAGGACATCCCGTGGCTCAGGGCCCTGGGGAGTGCCTGACCCAGGGGTGGGTGGAACACGACTGGTGCTTGTGGGGGCTGAGGCTTGGCTGTGGCTTCAGGGGCCTTTCGGGTGCTTTCGGTGGGGGGTTGGGCAGATCTCTGGGCCTCAAAGGGCCTTGGTGCTCCCCCCTGAAAATGGGGCTCCTGCCACTGACTGAAAGGGCTGTGTGAGGCCACACGAGGTGGCCCAGCATGGTCCCCACTGCCGCCTCTCCATCTCCACTGGAGTTAGCTTGCTGAGCCCCCACCCTGCAGCCACCATCCTCACTGGACCCAAAACGAAGTAGGCACAGAGGGGGCAGCAGGCCCCCAGGTCCGGCCTCTCGCCTTCCACAGCCCTGAGGTCCAGGCTCCTCCGGGAACAAACGCAGGCCCTAAGGGCCACCTGGAAGGCCTCCCAGAGCGCAGCACCAGGCCACAGGGGTCACCCGCAGGGGTGCAGGGAGGCCTCGTCATGCCGGGATTCCAGCCAGCACCAAGGCCCTGGGACAGGGCAAGATTTGGGGCTGAGCCCCTGCTCCCAGCAGTCCTGCCACCCGGAAGGTTCTAGGCCCTTCAGGCCCCTCCCCCATGCTGGTGATCTGTCCCTCCCCTGCTCGGGGGTGGGGGTCCCGGCCCCTCTGTGACCTGCGCCTGTGGTCACCTTCTTGGATCCCCGGCCACGTCTCTGGCATCTGTCTGTCGGAGCAGAGCCCGTGAGTCTCTCCTGGAGGCACCACCTGCAGCCCCTTGTGGGGACTGTGCTTGGGCTGGAGTGACTGTGGCTGCTGTGAGGGTTCCCGGGCGGCCGCTGTGTGCGGGCACTTTCGGTGGGAGCTCAGCTTGTCGGAGAGCCCCCAAAGGCTTGGCCCGCCTCCTCAGCCCCCATTTGTGTCTCGGGGTGCAGCCACCTCCAAGCTCCTTTTCCTTCTTTCAAACGGGGAGACTGAGGTGTGGGGGCCGGGCCTGTGTCCCAGGTGATCGACGCCATCTCTGGAGCCATCACACAGACCCCGGGCTGCGTGCTGCTGGATGTGGACGCAGGCCCTTCCACCAACCGCACCGTGTACACCTTCGTGGGGCCGCCGGAGTGCGTGGTGGAGGGGGCCCTCAACGCTGCCCGGGTAGCTTCCCGACTTATCGACATGAGCAGGCACCAAGGTGAGGTCTCTGGGCTCTCCTGTGGCTGCCGTGTCTCAGAATGTCAGGGCCGAGCCCTGTCCTGGTGTCCTGGGAGAGGGGGTAGGCCCGGGGCCCAGGCTTGGAACGTGGGGTCCAGTGGGGCTGGCTCTGGCTCTCCTAGGAGGACCCTGGAGTGTGGGGGTCATGGCCCCCATCCTGCCTGCAGGGCTGTGCTCTGGGGGACCCCCAGGTCGCCACGCTCCCACAGCACCGGGCCACCTTCACGGCTGGGTGGGGGGAGGGGGCCACGCCGGGGAAGGTTTGTGGGCCCCGTCCACCTGCCCACTCGTCAAGGGGGCTGAGAGCCAGTCTTGGAGCAGGCACTGGTGGGGGAAGGGCTGCCTGGAAGCTGACCTGTCAACAGCCCACAAGCCAAACACCTCGGTGGGCAGGCAGGGCCAAAGGTGTGTGGACACACGGGCGCTGGCCAGGGGCTGGGCTGTGGGCCGCTCATGAGAGGCCAGGGATCCACAGTGATCCTGAGGGGTGGATGGATGAGAAGCTTATCTCTAAGTGGCCAGCCCTGGGCGGTGGCGGCAAAGGCGGGGGAGGCTGGCGTCCCCTGGGGTGGGCGCCGACCCACGGCTTGGTGTAGCCACAGCGAGGGACTCAGCTAGTGAGAAGAATGCTCTGGAAACGCAGAGTGGATTCTCGGCTTCAGGGGAGGGGGTTGGGGTGGCCGGAACCCAGCCTCGAGCGCCCCCTCTTGGCCTGGCCGGGGCTGCCTGAGAGCTGAGCTTTGCACCCCTTTCAAAGTTATTTTTGTGAGTGTTAGGAGAGGGACAGGTTTATCCCAGAGATGCCAGACCACCCGCTCAGGTGCTGCTGCTCCTGGGCTGAAGGACCTCCCCCACACTGGCTGGGAGGACGGTGCGGGAACTTCCGTTGTCCCGGGAGGGCTGGTGCTGCCGCTGGGGCAGGGCTGGGAGCGCCCAGGGCCGGCCTCCTCCCTGTGGGTCAGTGTGAGCAGCTTGCTGGGTGTGTGGACTGGGGGCTGCCCAGGCCGGAGAGGACAGAGGGTCCGAGAACCCCGTGGAGCTCCCACCCGCTCCCACACCTGGCCTCCTGCCCGGCCTCGCCGTCTCTCTGCAGGAGAGCACCCCCGCATGGGGGCCCTAGACGTCTGCCCCTTCATCCCCGTGAGGGGCGTCAGCGTGGATGAGTGTGTGCTCTGCGCCCAGGCCTTTGGCCAGAGGCTGGCAGAGGAGCTGGACGTGCCAGGTGAGCGTGCCCCCCCGCCCCCCTCACTCTGCTCCCGTCTCATTGGTGTGGGTTATTGGCTCCTTCTGTATCCCCCAGTTCCCTGCCCTTGACTGCTCTTGCAAGGGCAGAGTGTTCCAAAAAGCCAACATGCAGAAGCGCAGCTCCCTCAATACCGAAATAAACGCAGCCTCGCCTGCGGCCGTGCAGGCCCGGGGCCTCCTCAGACTACACCGCAGAGCAGCTGCACAGGCAAACCAAGAGCCTTAAAGTCCACGCCTTCTAGAGCAGAATAATTTCACTTTGGGAAATTAACTAAATCAAGAAAATGATATGAAACAAACAGAGACAAACGGGACAAAGTGCATACCCACCCCTAGGCTGCACCAACCCAGCGCTCCTGGAAAGAAATCCCGAGGCAGGGACGTAGGTCACAGTCACGCCAGCGTGCAGGGCACACGTAACCCCCGTCACGGTCACGCCGGCATGCAGGGCACACGTAACCCCCGTCACGGTCATGCCAGTCCCCCCGAAGGAAATCCCGACGCAGGGCCCACGTCACAGTCACACTGGTGTGCGGGTTCACGAGTTTTTCCTCTTCTCTGCCGTTATATTTATGTGGTTGCTTGCGGTTCTGTTTATCATACAAAGAAAACAGAAGCATGAACGTCCTGCCGTTAGCATGTCCCACATGTTCCATCCTAACCCTGCAATTCGCCTTTTCAGGGCCCTCTGAGGAGGGGGTGGGCAGGGGTGCTGGCCCACACTGAGGGTCCACTGGGACCACCCGCATCCATCCAAGGCGGAGAACGGGCACTCCCCAGGAGAGGGTGCAGTAGAGGCCCATTCCTGGGTTAGGCTGGAGGGAGCCCCTCCACCTGCGTCCTCCAGGAACTGAGTCCTGGACCCCCTGCCGGTCCAGGCCTGACCGCCGGGCTCTCCTGCAGTTTACCTGTACGGCGAGGCAGCCAGGATGGACAGTCGCCGGACCCTGCCGGCCATCCGGGCCGGGGAGTACGAGGCCCTCCCTAAGAAGGTGCCCCCACCCCGGGCGGTCGGGCCTGGGAAGGAGGTGGACCTGCCCCTTTGTCCTGGCTGGGGTGGCTGGGCCGGGCCCCTCCTTCCCGGGACCCCGGGGGGCTGTTCCCTCCCGTGGGGGATGTCTCACCCCAGAGCGAACTTGCTCACAGCTCCAGCAGGCCGACTGGGCGCCCGACTTTGGTCCCAGCTCCTTTGTCCCCAGTTGGGGGGCCACGGCCACGGGGGCGAGGAAGTTCCTCATTGCTTTTAACATCAACCTGCTCGGCACAAAGGAGCAAGCCCACCGCATCGCGCTCAACCTGCGGGAGCAGGGCCGCGGGAAGGACCAGGTGACCCCGTTCACTGACCCCATGGAGCCCCACCCAGCCCCTCGGGAAAGGGTTAGAGGCTGAGAGCCTCAGGCGGGGAGGTCGGTGGGGATGGGGCACCGGCCGGACAGGGTTCGGCCTCCCACCTGCAGACCGGCCCAGCCTCCGCGTCCACACCGTGCGGGGACCGCGCAGGTCGGCAGGTCAGGGGCGGAGTGAAGCTGGGGAGCTCTGGCCTCCTGGGGATTTTCCAGGGAACGAGGCAGGACTTCCCTTTGTTAACATGTGGCAGCATTTCCATACTGCTGGGAAACAGCGACTTCCGGAGTCCCAGGTGCCCTCAGGGGCCCCCCATATCCCTCCAGATGCCTTGGGAGCCCCGACACCCCTACAAACCTTCAGGTGCCCCCAGGCCTTTCCCTCCACGTCTGCACAGCAGTGGTCACCCGGTCTGAGCGTCACTCCGGGTATAGATACCCGGAGAAAGCGGGGGGGACCACCTGCCCATCTGTTCCCCACTCAGAGACCCCGGTCCCACAAACAGCCAAGGTCCTGGGACCCGGCTTCCCGACCTGCAGACTCAGCACAAAAGCACAGGGACCTCTAAGTCCTGCTTTAGGCCCCGGCCAAGGGCAGAGGTCAGAGTCCCCCCACGTGGACTCAGTCACCCCGACAAGTGCGGGGCTGAGGGGACTTGTCGGGAGCGGAGCAGATGGGATGGGAGAACGGCATGGGGGTGCCTGGGGCCCCACCCCTCAGCATTCCCCCAACATCTAGGACACAGCGTGGCTGGAAGGCAGGGCCTAGGCTGGGCGGGGGCCTGCCGGGGTGGGCCTCCGGTGTCTGACCCTTGGGGCCTCCGTTTCCCTGTGGCAAGCGAAGTTTCTCTGGCCCTCCCCGGCCAGCTCAGTGAGGGACGGAGGAGAACCACAGCACCCACCCAGGCACAGGCTCCTCCCCGTCCAGCTGGGGAATGCAAGTGCCAGGAGAGACTGGCAGGGCCAGGCAGGATGAGCTTCCTAGTCCAGGCTGGGGAACGCTCTTCCTTTGCAGCCAGGACGTCTGAAGAAAGTTCAGGGCATTGGCTGGTACCTGGATGAGAAGAACCTGGCTCAGGTGTCCACCAATCTTCTGGACTTTGAGGTCACGGCACTGCACACGGTCTACGAGGAGACCTGCCGAGAAGCACAGGTGAGCCCGGGAGCAGCCGCTGCTGCTGTGAGGGGCGAGCCGATCTGTCCCGTGGGCAGGGCGGGGGCCCCACATCCTCCAGCCAGGGCCATTCTCCAGCCAGCCCCCAGGGGGTGACGCTGCCTGTGCCTTGGCAGGAGCTGAGCCTCCCAGTGGTGGGCTCACAGCTGGTGGGCCTGGTGCCCCTGAAGGCTCTGCTGGATGCGGCCGCCTTCTACTGCGAGAAGGAGAACCTCTTCATCCTGGAGGAGGAGCAGCGGATCAGGCTGGTGGGCCGGGCTGCCGAGGAAGGGTCGGACAGGGGCGTGCAGGGAGGGTGGGGAGGCGGTGGCGGAGCTCACAGCCCTGGGGCGCAGCTTCCCTCCCCCTCCTCCCCCTTCATTTTATTGACTTGTGTTCAGAAGATGAGATTTCACTTTTTATTTTGGACACCTTATTGAGGTTTTTTTGTGACCTATGATATGCTCAGCTGTGCAAATTCCACGGAGAGGACACCCCACCCTTTCTGCTTGGTCTTGCCTCCTGGGCCGGCCATGCTCCCGTGGAGGGGCCTGTGCCTCCTCTCACCACCTCCATCGGGGCGTCCTGCACCCCTGGAACTGGCAGCTCATGGATGTGTGTGCCTTTAGCTATGGGACTTAGATCCCCATCCACGGAGCGGCTCCTTCAGAAAGTGATTCCTTTTGTCTTGTGGACACCTGGGCCTCAAGGCTTCTGGAGTCTGGGTTCCACCGGGGCCTCAGGTCCTGCTGGGGTGTGGCAGCGTCTGCAGAGCCGCTGTCCGCCTTGGTCTGTCCTTTCACTCGAGGTCACTGCAGAGCCGCTGTCCGCCTTGGTCTGTCCTTTCACTCAAGGTCACTTTGTTTTAGGTGTGTTTTTCGCAATAAGCACAATCCACTTAACTGGATTTTTTGGGGACGTTTTGTCTGTTTGTGTTTTTACTGATTTAGCTCTCGTGACTTGTGGATTCCGTCCTTGTTTAGTCTCGGGCATATTTTCTTCTATTAGATCGCTGACCCAGTTATTTAGTTCTCTAGCTGTAGGACCCCGTGATGCTGCAGCAGCTTTGATGTCTTCTCTGCCTCCGTCTTTACTTTCTCTTCCACTCCTTTCCTCTGGATTCACAGTGGTTTTCCAAAACCCAGCCTCAATCATTGGTGCGTTTGTGGCCTTGTCTGTTGTATTCTTGGCTGTTAACAAAATTTTTTGTGACTTTACATTTTGTATAATTTCTTACAGAGAAGATACAGGTGGCCCTCCACTCCTGCCTCCCACCCATATTTTCCAAGTGCTTGCATTTTGCCCCATTTATTTGTGTATAATCATATTATATTTTTTTCCGGACTATTTAAAAGTTGGGTTGAAGACATTGTACTCTTTTACCCCTAATTTATTAAGGCTGTGTTTCTTAAGAACAGGGACATTCTCTTACATAACCACAGTGTAATTATCAAAATCAGGAAATTCAACACTGATACAATCCTAGTATCTAATAATCCTCAGGCCATAATCAAATTGCTTCAGTGTCCCAGTGATTCCCATCATAGCGATTTCTCCTCCAATCCGTGATCCAGTTCACGTAACACAGAGCACTGAGCCAACCTTTTCTCCTTTCTTCCAACTGTTCCTGTCTTCCTTGTCCTTCATTGACCTTGACATAGTTTCAAAGGACAGACTTTTAAAAGCGCCTCAGTGGGGACTAGTCTGATGTTGCTTGTGGCCAGATGTAGTTGTGCATTTTTATTTTAATTTAATTTGTTACTTCTTTTGAGACAGGGTCTTGCTCTGTCACCCAGGCTGGAGTGCAGTGGCACAATCACAGCTCACTGCAGCCCCAAACTCCAGGGCTCAGGTGATCTTCCCACCTCAGCCTCTCAAAGTGCTGGGATTACAGGCAAGGACCACTATGTAGTCCTGGCTAATTTTGTACAGATGGGGTTTTGCTCTATTGCCCAGGCTGGTCTCAAACTCCTGGACTCAAGCAATCCACTCACGTCAGCCTCCTAAAAGTGTTGGGACGACAGGTGTGCACCAACACGCCCAGCCAGTTACGCATTTTTGGCAGGAAAAGCATAGATGGTATTGTGTCCTCCTCAGAGACGCCGACTCCCCATGATGCTCATTTTCTCAGGGTGCCGACGTGGACCCGTCACTTGCCAAGGCGACCCCCTTCCTCCTGGACCCTTCACTGCAATGTTACTATTTTTCCTTTTGCAATTAATACGTTGTGGGGAGTACTTGAAGGTGTTTAAAGTATTGAGTAGGTAAATACCTGTTTATTACTGAAATTCCAGAGTTTTAGGAGCCAGTGACAGCATTCCAACGTCATCCTTTCTGTCTAAGCAGCAGCTGTCGCTTCTCCACATTTCCTTGTCTTCTTATGTGTGAGGCCCCGTCTGCTTTCCAGTGTGGCGTTTTGTCTTCTTCTTTTTTTTTTTTTTTTTTGAGATGGAGCCTCACTTTGTCACCCAGGCCGGAGTGCAGTGGTGTGATCTCGGCTCACTGCAACCTCCACCTCCCGGATTGAAGCAGTTCTCTGCCTCAGCCTCTCGAGTAGCTGGGATTACAGGCGTGTGCCACCGCACTTGGCTAATTTTTGTATTTTTTTTTTTTAGTAGAGACGGGGTTTCACCATCTTGGCCAGGCTGGTCTTGAACTCCTGACCTCGTGATCCGTCCGCCTCAGCCTCCCAAAGCACTGGGATTACAGGCGTGAGCCACCGTGACTGGCTGGGGTTTTGTCTTCTTTACCTGAAGGGCCCCATGCCTGCGGCCTGCACAGGTCTGGCTGTGCCCGTGGCTGCGTGCTGCCTCCTTGTGGTGAGGCTGCTTTGCTTTGTGTTGTGTGATTTTTGATTGCCAGTGCATGCTCTGTGGAATTTTATCTATGGTAATTCTTGGACACCTGGGTTCAAAGTTTTCTCCTCCAAGGAGGGTTTGTGCTGGCGCTTGTGGACACTGCCTCACAGGACCCCCTGAAGCTGAGTTTTTGGCTTGGAGTTCTGGAACCACACAAGAGTGAATTCGGTGTCGGGTGAGGCCTGCAGCCCTGTCAGGGTGGCTTGTGATTAGGAATTCCCAGGAGATTTTTTTTTTTTTCCTGCTTCACCCAAAGGGAAGGCAGGGACTGGGAAGTACCTCAACTGTTTCCTCTGGCGGGTGGCTGTTTCTAATTCATCCTTGGGGGTGTCACCTTCCAGGGGTCTCCAGTCGGACCCCACTCTGAAGGCCCCAGACCTCCCCCACTCATCAGGGGCTGCCAGAGAGGGGCAGTTGCCCCCAGGGCAGACCCAGCTCCAGGCTGGCAGGCCTTTCCGGACTCGTCTTTCTGGTCGTGTCTGGTTTCGAATGATGTCCTGTCTGCTAGCTTAGCCAGGCCTTTAAAATGCCCGGCATCTTCCTGGGGTTTTCTGCGGAAGGAGGCTTTGCCTTGTGGCTTGCTGGTTCTATGCCACGGGGAGGCACTCTCCACCCCGCCCGGCTGCTGTCCGTCTCTGTGGGGTGGGGTGGGGGTCGCATAGCCAACGTGTTCTGAATGGGTTTCCCAGAATGAATTCTAATCTTAAATGGGACTGTCACAACTTTATTTTGAATTTAGGTAAAACTCACTTTTGTGGCATACAAGTTTATGTGTGGGTGACTTGGGGCTGTTCCTCAGCTTTTGAGGACTTGTTAGATGTGAAGACTTGGTGAATTAAAATCTTTCCCGCCCGTCAGCGATGGGGCAGTGGTGCTGGGGGGCGGCGAAGCATGAGCAGCAGTTTGCTGAGGGGTCCCCAGGGGGCAACTCCTTTCTCTGGGCCTCAGGTTCCCCAAGGGCAACTCAGGGTGATGGCTGTTTCCAGAAGCCTGTACGGGGTGCCTGCTGGGGCGGGGCCCACAGGGCTCCTGGCGGGGCAGAGGTGGGGGGTGCCAGCCACGCCCCTGCCCTGCTCCCCGCAAAAGCACCTGTGTGCTCGGGGCAGGGGGCGGCTGCCGCAAGGGTGGGACCCGCGGGTTCCGAGGCTTTCCTGGTGGTGGAGACGCGCCGAGGCCGTTTCCACTCCAAGCCCCTTTTCCAGGTGGTGAGCCGGCTGGGCCTGGACTCCCTGTGCCCCTTCAGCCCTAAGGAGCGGATCATCGAGTGAGCCTCTGCCCTCCCGCCCTCTTCTCACCCCTCCCGGGCTCTGCCTCTCGGGCCTTGCGGGGCGCTGGGGTCCCTGCGTGGAGACCCGGCTGAGTCCTCCCAGCGCCTCCCTTTGGGCGCCTACTCGGCCTGCGCCAAGCCGGGGTCTGGGGGCTGAGGGGGGCACAGAGACCCCGGCCGGGTCCCCGCAGGTTCTCAGCCGAGTGGTCACCTCCCCGTGGGTGCAGACGGGCGTGGGGCCTGGGGCCGCCCCGGGAGGACTGCGCTCCCCCCACCAACCCCGGCCAGACCCGCTGAGCCGCGCCCACCCTGCAGGTACCTGGTCCCTGAGCGCGGGCCTGAGCGAGGCCTGGGCAGCAAGTCCCTGCGCGCCTTCGTGGGGGAGGTGGGTGCCCGCTCTGCGGCCCCCGGGGGCGGCTCGGTGGCGGCGGCCGCTGCGGCCATGGTGAGCGCGGGGGGAGGGGCAGGGGAGGCGCAGTTGTTGGGGGGAGGGCGGGGAGGGGGAAGGGCGCTGTTGGGGGGAGGGCACGGGGTGGGGAGGGCGCGGTGGGGCCGCCCTGGGTGGAGACGTGGGGGCCACACGGGTGGGACCCCCGCAGGGATCACCCGGGCCCCTGGCTCTTCCTGGGGTCGGTCCCGGGCCGTCTGGGGTCCCTGCGACCCCCACATCCACCCCTCTCGCAGGGTGCGGCGCTGGGCTCCATGGTGGGCCTCATGACCTACGGGCGGCGCCAATTCCAGTCCCTGGACACGACGATGCGGCGCCTGATCCCGCCCTTCCGCGAGGCTTCGGCCAAGCTAACCACGCTGGTGGATGCCGACGCCGAGGCCTTCACCGCCTACCTGGTGAGTGGCGGCCACAGCAGGGCTCCCCGGGCCCCACCAACAGCGAACCCCCAGCTGGGGCCCCAGTGAGAAGCGGGTCAGCCTCCGGCTGGGGAGGGGCTGGGGACCAGGAGGGGCCTGAGGGCGTCACCACTGGCCGCTGTCTGGACCTTGACCACCAGCACCGCCCTCACCCCGGCAAGTGCTTGGGCCCAGCAGGGTTTGAGGGTTCGGCCAGGGTGACCCCACATTCACAGGCCATGGCAGCCGGTACAAGGGAACAGGCCCCTCCCAGCAGGGGAGCCAGGAGCCCAGGCTTGGGGGACCCCACAGACCTGGAGCAAGGCAGGGCCCTTCTTTAGAAGCCTGCAATTCCAGGAAAGGAGGCCTGCAAGAATCTCAGGAACACAGTGATGAGTGCTCTCAGGCAGGCCAGAGACGACCCGTTTCAGCCACAGCATAAGACAGAAACACCATCTTCAGATAACACCCACTCAGGCAGGCAGTGACCCCACCTCCCTCCAAACGGGACAGGAACATGAGCATCAGCTGGCAGGATGTGCCCACAGATGGGTGCTGGGTGCTCAGAGCCTAGGGCAGGGGCCAGAGAGCCTGGGAAAGGGCAGTGACAAGGTCAGGATGCTCCCAAGCAGTTCCAGCCCAGGAGAGGACAGGAGGGAAGGGCAGAAAAGAGAGAGAGAGGGAGGGGAGAGAGAAGAGAGGGAGAGTGGGGAGAGAGGCAGATGGCGGAGAGAGAGAGGGAGGGAGGGATGGGGAGGGAGGGAGGGGGAGGAGAGGGAGAGGGGGAGAGAGGGAGGGGGAGAGACAGAGAGAGAGGGAGAGGGAGGGAGAGAGGGAGGGAGACAGAGGGAGGAGGGGGGAGAGAGGGAGGGGGAAAAGGGGAGAGAGGGAGAGGGGGAGAGAGGGAGGGAGAGGGGAGGAGGGAAAGGGGAGGGAGAGGGGGAGAGGGGGGAGAGAGGGGAGAGAGGGAGAGGGGGAAAGAGGGGAGGGAGGGAGGGGGGAGAGAGGTAGGTGGAGAGAGAGGGAGGGAGAGAGAGGGAGAGAGGGGAGAGAGGTGTAGGGGCCAGCCCTACAGGGTCTGTGGGTTTTTCTCCCCGTGTGTAGAGATGAGAGATTATAGAAATAAAGACACAAGACAAAGAGAAGAAAAGACAGCTGGGCCCGGGGGACCACTACCACTAAGACACGGAGACCGGTAGTGGCCCTGAATGCCTGGCTGCGCTGTTATTTATTGGATACAAAGCAAAAGAGGCAGGGTAAAGAGTGTGAGTCATCTTTAATGATTGATAAGGTCACGTGAGTCACATGTCCACCGCACAGGGGCCCCTTCCCTGTTAGGTAGCTGAGGCAGAGAGAGAGAGGACAGCTCACATCATTTTTTTTAATCCTCTTTTTAGAAAGATTAAAGACTAATACTTTTACTAAGTTTGCTACTGTTATCTAGAGGGCGGAGCCAGGTGTACAGAGTGGAACATAAAAGTGAAACAGGAGCATGAGCTCTAAAGCACAGCATCACAGGGAGACGATTAGGCCTCGGGATAACTGCGGGTGGGCCCTTTACAAGAGGTGGTGGACCAGAGTCTTCTTCAAACTCCCCTGGAGAAAGGGAGACTGCCTTTTCCGATCTGCTAAGTAGCGGATGCTTTTCTTTGGCACTGACACTACCATAGACCATGCTCCGCTTGGTAACGGGCGCCTTCCCAGACGCTGGCCTTACCGCTAGACCAAGGAGCCCTCTAGTGGCCCTGCCCAGGCCTGACAAAGAGCTCACACTCGTTTTTTGGTCACTTTTTAGCGTGCCCCTTCAACTCCTATCTGTGTATGGCCTGGTTTTTCCTAGGTTATGATTGCAGAGCAAAGATTATTATAATGTTAAAGAGTAATTGCTACAAACTAATGATTAATAATTATATATAATCATATCTATGATCTATATCTAGTACAACTCTTGTTATTTTATATATTTTATTGTACTAAAACAGCTCGTGCCCTCGGTCTCTTGCCTGGGCACCTGGCTGGCTTGCCGCCCACAAGAGGGAGATGGGGAGGGGGGGTAGGGAGAGAGGGAGGGGAGTGGGGAGAGAGGGAGGTGGGGAGAGAGACAGGGAGGGACAGAGTGGGAGGGAGGGAGAGAGAAACATGTGCCCCAGCCTCTGGAGCAGGGCGGTGGGGGCGCCTGTGTTTCTGGGAGGGCCACAAGACCCCCAGCCCTAAGTTGGGAAGTCTACCTTACAAGGCTGGGTGAGAAAGGCAGGCCCCAAATGCACGTGGAATCCACACACAGGCACAGAGGGAGCCAAGATGAGGGCCTCGGATAAACAGTCCCGGATTTGCAGAGGGAGTCGCCTGAGGGTCCCGTTCTGGTCCTGTGGAGAGGTGAAGCTGGCTGGGCTTCTGGGTCTGGTGGGGACTTGGAGAACTTTTCTGTCTAGCTAAAGGTTTGTAAACACACCAGTCAGCACTGTGTCTAGCTACTGGGGTGGGAACTTGGAGAACTTCTCTGTCTAGCTAAAGTATTGTAAAAACGCACCAGTCAGTGCTCTGTGTCTAGCTAAAGGTTTGTAAACGCACCAATCAGCACTCTTTAAAAACGGACCAATCAGCACTCTGTAAAATGGACCAATCAGCACTCTGTAAAGTGGACCAATCAGCAGGATGTGGGCGGGGCCAAATAAGGGCATAAAAGCTGGCCACCGAAACCAGCAAGCGCCAACCGTGGCGGGTTCTGTTCCAAGCTGTGGGGGCTTTGTTCTTTTGCTCTTCGAACTAAATCTTGCTGCTGCTTACTCTTTGGGCCTTCGCTACCTTTACGACCTGTAACACTCACTGCCAAGGTGTGTAGCTTCACTCCTCAAGTCAGCGAGACCACCAACCCACCGGGAGGAGCTAACAGCTGTGCTACGCGCCACCTGTAAGAGCTGTAACACTCGCTGCGAAGGTCGGCGGCCTCACGGGGAGGAAGAAACAGCTCCCGACGCGCCACCTGTAAGAGCTTAACGCTCACTGTGAAGGTCGGCGGCCTCACGGGGAGGAAGAAACAGCTCCCGACGCGCCACCTGTAAGAGCTTATGGCTCACTGTGAAGGTCTGCGGCCTCACCGGGAGGAAGAAACAGCTCCCGACGCGCCACCTGTAAGAGCTCACTGAGAAGGTCTCCGGCTTCACTCCTGAAGTCAGGCAAGACCACGAACCCGCCAGAAGGAAGAAACTCCGGACGTATCTGAACATCAGAAGGAACCAATTCCGGACACACTGTTTGCAGGGAGGTGTAGACGCTGATCACCGTTTCCAGTCATTTTAAAAATTCAGGTTTTATTTATTTACTTTTTACAGTAGATAGGCCCTTCGGGGGTTCACCCCGCCTTCGCCACAGCCCGCCCAGTGCTCGCCTCTCTTGCTGCCTCAGAGCTCCGCCTTTCCTTCCCCTCGCACACAGCCCCGCCCGCTCCCAGCCTGGCCCCTTGGGTTTTCCACTGGGGGAAGCACCCCCCTCCCCGGGGGGGCCCAGGGCACCCAACACCTGCTTGCAGAACCCTGCTTTCTGGGATGCGCTTCTCATTACCGGGCAGGTTAAGCATGTTCCGTACATTTAGCAGTGGTTTTTACTTCTTTTCCAGGAAGTTATCTGGTGAATATTTTTTGACTCCTTTTATCTTAGTTTCTCTTGGGGCTTTCGCTGCCTTCTAGTATTTTTTTTTTTTAATAGGGGAGGCAGGCCTTGTTCTGGGCTCAGCTTTCCCCGTTTGTTGTTCGTCTTTGGACTTTGCGTGTGGGGCTTCTGACAATGACTCTTAATCTTTATGTCGTGGAATGTGTCAATCCTGACTTTATATTTTTTGGGTCTTGTATCACAGTTCAAATGGCCTCCCCAGAACAAGATGATCTTTTCTATACTTTAATGGGTTGATGAACTTTAGACCCGGACAGGCATTTGAAGACAGTCATGAATTTAAGTATAAATATTAGAAATAGGCCAGGCATGATAGCTCACACCTGTAATCCTAGCATTTTGGAAAACCAAGGTGGGCAAATCCCTTGAGCTCAGGTGTTTGAAACCAGCCTAGACCACACACCAAGACCCTGTATTTACCCACCCAAAAAGAAAAAAAAAAAATAAAGCCAGGCGTGGTAGCAGGTACCTGTGGTCCCAGCTACTCAGGAGGCTTAAGTGGGGGTAGCTTGAGGCCAGGAGTTTGAGGCTGCAGTGAGTCGTGATTGCACCACTGCACTCTAGCCTGGGCAACAGAACGACACCCTGTCTCTAATGTAAACATATGTATATAAAACATAGGAACAATTTTATGTTTAGAAATTTAAAATAAGGTGAATAATTAAAAAACAAGTAGGAAAAGTACATAGATGAAAATGTAATCAAGGGACAGGAAGGAAACAAGACGTGTGGTTTAGAGAACCATGAGCGGGGACAGTGAGACTGTGCTAGGCATCAGTGGTCGAAATCAGTGGATTGGTTTACGCTCCCTGTGAGCCACGTGAAGGTGGACGGGGAGTGCTGGATTGGTTTACGCTCCCTGTGAGCAATGTGAAGGCAGACGGGGAGTGCTGGATTGGTTTACGCTCCCTGTGAGCAATGTGAAGGCTGACGGGGAGTGCTGGATTGGTTTACGCTCCCTGTGAGCCACGTGAAGGTGGACGGGGAGTGCTGGGTTGGTTTACGCTCCCTGTGAGCAATGTGAAGGCAGACGGGGAGTGCTGGATTGGTTTACACTCCCTGTGAGCCACGTGAAGGTGGACGGGGAGTGCTGGGTGGGTTTACACTCCCTGTGAGCCACGTGAAGGTGGACGGGGGAGTGCTGGATTGGTTTACACTCCCTGTGAGCCACGTGAAGGTGGACGGGGAGTGCTGGGTTGGTTTACACTCCCTCTGAGCAATGCGAAGGTGGACGGGGAGGGCTGGGTTGATTTACATTCCCTGCGAACAATGTGAAGGTGGACGAGGAGTGCTGGGTTGGTTTACACTCCCTGTGAGCCACGCGAAGGTGGACGGGGAGTGCTGGATTGGTTTACACTCCCTGTGAGCCACGTGAAGGTGGACGGGGGAGTGCTGGGTTGGTTTACACTCCCTCTGAGCAATGCGAAGGTGGACGGGGAGGGCTGGGTTGATTTACATTCCCTGTGAACAATGTGAAGGTGGACGGGGAGTGCTGCATTGGTTTACGCACCCTGTGAGGCACGTGAAGGTGGACGGGGAGTGCTGGGTTGGTGTACACTCCCTGTGAGCAATGTGAAGGTGGACGGGGAGTGCTGGATTGGTTTATGCTCCCTCTGAGCAATGCAAAGGTCGACTTTTGAAAAACATAAGGAGATATCTGTACCTTGCACCAAATACATAAGTAATTTCCAGATGGAATAGAAAACTGTATTTCCCCACCACCAACACAACCAAGCCTCACGATAAATCACAGAAAACAAAACGGACCGGGCGGGCAGGCCTCGGCCGGACGCAGATGAGGCCACCTAAAGCACACCCTTGGCCAAGATCTGCCCAGGGAGACCATGGACACCGCAAGGCCTGGGTGTGAGAGAGTGTTCGTAGCGCGAGTCGCAGCTTGAGGATGGCTGTCCTGCCTCCGCCTGCAACTGCTACAGACCCTTGTGCAGAGGACAGCCTGGGAGAGGGGCTGCAGCCAGGAGGCCTGGTCTGGATGATGCCCCAGCCAGTCAGGGAGACACTGGGCATTTCTGTTCCTCGATCACTGCTGTCGGAATGGTCAAAGGATCCAGATCTGGCTGGCGCCCAGGGAGCATTTGCTCTCATCCATGGTCGAGGGTAGGGGCTGTTGATGATGACTTTCTGGTGGAGAGTTGGCTGAATCTTCCAAGATGAAGTGAGCATATTCCCCACTGAGAACCCCTTGGCCAGGGCTCTGGCCACAGTCCGTGTGAGTAGGGCTCCCAGTGGGTCCTTGGAAGGTTGGTGTGTGGTCCCAGCTGTGCTCTTCCACACGGGGTGGGTCCGAGGAGCCGAGTGCCTTACGGTGACGCCGTGAGCTACACACATGAGCACCTAGGAAAGGCCAGTGCCTGTGACCGGGGCAGGGACATGAGGGGCTTTGAGGTTTGCTCTTGGTCCTTCTGCACAGTCTGAGCCTCTTATGCCCAGGCTTGGGGGCGGTGCAGCTGCTTGTGTTGGAGACACAGGCCCAGAGCCACTCCTGCCTACAGGTTCTGAGGGCTCAGGGGACCTCCTGGGCCCTCAGGCTCTTTAGCTGAGAATAAGGGCCCTGAGGGAACTACCTGCTTCTCACATCCCCGGGTCTCTGACCATCTGCTGTGTGCCCCGACCCCCCCTACCCTGCTCCTCCACCAAGCCTGATGCTAAGGGCTATAAACCACTGGCCCAACAGAAGCTTGGTTCCCAGAGAACTGGTCCCTGCCTGGGACATGCTCCTTGCTACAGCCCCTTGTGGGAGCTCAGAGGGCATGGCTGCTCCCCCTACGGTCCCTCGCCCAGTGGTTCTGTCTCTTTATGGCAGGAAGCAATGAGGCTCCCCAAGAACACACCTGAGGAAAAGGACAGGTGAGCCTGGAGGGCCGGCCGCACCGTGGGCCTCTGTGTCTGGGGAGTTGGTGGCCAGGATCCCGAGTACCTGGGTGCTGTGACGGGGCGTGGTTGGCCTGGGCGTGCTGGGTGTTTGGGAATGACTTCCCATCGCCCGCTTCTGCAGCCTGCTCAGCCCTGTTGGGGTGCAGTGTGTCCACTGCCTGCCTGTGTGTGCCGCTGTGCTCAGGCTCTCCTCTTGCTCCTTTCAGGCGCACGGCGGCCCTACAGGAGGGTCTGAGGCGGGCAGTCTCTGTGCCGCTGACGCTGGCGGAGACGGTGGCCTCGCTGTGGCCGGCCCTGCAGGAACTGGCCCGGTGTGGGAACCTGGCCTGCCGGTCAGACCTCCAGGTAGGGGGGCCCGGGGGACCCCAGGCCTCCTGCCGCAAAGCAGGAAGCAGCTGTTGGGGCTGAGTTGCTGGAGAGCACGGTGGTTGGCTGGGCTGAGCCAGGTAGGGAGACCTCACTTCACGGGCAGTTCCCGGGGCTTTGGCCTCCTCCAACAGGGCCGGGGTGTCCGCTGCCTTCTAAGATCTCGCTCACGGCGGCACCACAGACGGAGACCCAAATGTGTCTGCAGAGCCCACCCTGACCACTGTATAAGTGTATACTCCCCCAAGACCCCTTGTATCACCCCCACTGTCTTGTTCTAGAAAACACCTATGTCAGCCCAGGCACAATGGTTCTCGCCTGTGGTCCCAGCACTTTGGGAGGCTGAGGCGGGAGGATCACTTGAATAGAGGAGGTCGAGACCAGCCTGGGCAACATAGTGGGACCCTGGCTGTACAATAGATACATATGAGCCAGGCACGGTGGTGCCTGTGGTCCCAGCTACTTGGGAGGCTGAGGCAGGAGAATTGCTTGAGCACAGGAGGTCAAGGCTGCAGTGAGCCGTGATCACACCACTGCGCTCCAGCCTTGGTGACAGAGCAAGACCCTGGGTCAAAAACAACAAAACACGAGAAAGCACACAAGGCAGCTCTTGGAAGTAGATGCCTCACACTGACAGGGGCCACAGCTGGGCAGAGGGTCCCAGAGAAGGAGCGTCTCTCTCATGGGCTCAGCACTTTCTGCAGCTGCCCTAAGACCTCATGGTCTTCGGGTTCTTTATAGGAAAGACGCCTCTTTTCAGCATCTGGTCCCAGAGAAGTGTCCCCTCAGTCCCTGGGAAGTGTCCCTGGGCAGTGGGCGGGCCGTTAGCCTGAAGCTGCCTCCGGGGGCCCTCCAGGGGATGACTTTGTCTCTAGAACTGTGGTCCTGGTTCCTAGAGTGGCGGAGAGCCTCCAGTGTGACTGCTCCCAGGCCTCCTGTGGGGCTGAGCCCTGCTTGGATAAGAGAAAGTTTTGTTTTCTAAGCTCAGTGGTGGGGCTTAGCCCTCTGTGGGGCGAAAGCGGGGGCTGCGCTGGGCTCCTTGTGAGGAGGAGGACGAAGTCCGGCCTGTCCCAGAGCCCGTCAGGCAGAGACCCTCCTTCCGGCAGTTTGCTCAGCCTTGATCCATGTAGGGGCTCCCTGGGGTCCTTGCAGGTGGCGGCCAAAGCCCTGGAGATGGGCGTGTTTGGCGCATATTTCAACGTGCTCATCAACCTGAGGGACATCACAGACGAGGCATTTAAGGACCAGGTGAGCAGGAGGCAGGTGTGGTGCCCGGACCCCACGTGGGGGCCTGGATTCACAGCCTCAGGGTGATTGCCGACTGGCTGTGGGCAGTGGGGGTCGGAGGTTGCTGCCCAGCAAGCTGGGCTGAAGACTGGAACTACCAGACCCCTCTTTCCCTGTGTCCATCAGATCCACCATCGTGTTTCCAGCCTCCTGCAGGAAGCCAAGACCCAGGCTGCACTGGTGCTGGACTGCTTGGAGACCCGGCAGGAGTGACGGTGCGGGAGGCCTCTCCGGGCTCTGTGGCCCCTCCCTCGCCCATCCCCAGAGGGCAGAGCTGTGACCTCGGTGGGGACACAGCTTGTTCGTGTGGGGCCCGGAGGGTAGGTGGGCAGGCAGCGGGGCATCGCCTGGGAATGGAGGCGCTGGCAGGGACAGAAGGCCCCTAGTCCCATGTGACCTCCAGTAAAGTTTTGGCACCAAACCTGTGTTGTGTGTTGGCGGTTTTGGGGGCAGGGCTGAGAGCTGAGCTGCGGGTCTTGGGGCAGGAGCAGGACATATGGTCAGTGGCCCATGGGAGCCAGGGTTGGAGGGAATGGGGTTGCAGCGTGAGGAGACAGACCTCAGCGCCAGGGTCCCCAGACACCCAGTGCAGCCCACAGTGGGCAGGGTCACAGGTATTCAGAGGACCTGGGGTTCAGTGCAGGTCCCTGGGCTGTGAGGCCCCTTGTCTGAGGGAAAGGGGCCCTGGTTCTGTGCATGGGACAGAAACCCCAGGGACAGCAGGACCTTCGACGCTGGAAGGATAGCCTCGCTTCCCAGGTGCAGCTCCCGGCAGGTCTGGACAGTTCCACAGAGCACGGTACTGGCCCTGTCCTCAGTTCCCGTCCACCCTTCAACCAGTGGCTCCTGGGAGACTTTTCCTCCCTGCCTCAGCTCCCTGCCCAGCCAGCCTCCTGTCTCCAGAGAAGTTCTCCATTAAAAAATAATTTAGCAAATCACTATACTCTCAAATTACTTCTAGATGGACTATTACATGTGACAGATGATGTATGAATGTATTTGTTAGTCAGCACTGCAGGATATTAAAAAGAAGATTACTGTGTCCTTGAGTGAAGCAGAAAACTCAAATGCCTTATTGGAGAGATTTCCCATTCTGAAAATAGAACATACTTGTTCATGAAAAAAGATGTCATCATCCAAGACAAATGACAAGAATCCTACAGGGAGAAAAAACACCCAAGGTGTGTGTGGGTACAGGGCCATCATCACTCAGCATGAAAGGTTCCTACATATCCGGCCGGCAGGGGGTGACAGGGAGGGGGTGCCGGGGAGGGGAGACTGGGAGGGAATGCTGGGAGGGAATGCTGGGAGGGGAGGCTGGGAGGGAACGCTGGGGAGGGGAGGCTGGGGAGGGGAGGCTGGGAGGGAACGCTGGGGAGGGGAGGCTGGGAGGGGAGGCTGGGAGGGAACGCTGGGGAGGGGAGGCTGGGAGGGAATGCTGGGGAGGGGAGGCTGGGAGGGGAGTCTGGGAGGGGAGACTGGGGAGGGGACTCAGGAGGGAAGGCTGGGAGGGGACATTGGTGAGGGGACATTGGTGTTGGGGATGGTGAGGGGACATTTGTGAGGGGACATTGGTGTTGGGACGGTGAGGGGGCATTGGTGTTGGGACCATGAGGGGACATTGTGAGGGGACATTGGTGTTAGGACCGTGAGGGAACATTTGTGTGGGGACATTGGTGTTGGGACAATGAAGGGGACATTTGTGAGGGGACACTGGTGTTGGGACCATGAGGGGACATTGGTGTTAGGACCATGAGGGGACATTTGTGAGGGGACATTGATGTTAGGACCGTGAGGGAGGAGACATTTGTGAGGGGACATTGGTGTTGGGACCATGAGGGGACATTTGAGGGGACATTGGTGTTGGGACCATGAGGGGACATTTGTGAGGGATGCTGGTGAGGGGATGCTGGTGTGGTGTAATTGGTGAAGGGCCAATGGTGAGCGGCAGTTGCTGGGTGGAGCTGTGGGTAGAGCCTGTAGGTAGCTGGAAGTCCCTTCCAGTGGGACTGACGTTCCTGCCCTGCAGGGTCCGAGGCTGCACACGTGGGAGCTGGCACGAGAGAGGGGAGCGCCCTCTCCCTGCAGAGGCCCTGGGCAGCTCCTGTGTAGCTCCTGTGGGTGGAGCCTGTGCACCTGCAGGGGCCTCTGCCTCCCTCCACCTGCGGGACCCGCGGTGTTCACCTGGAGCACAGAGATCTGAGGGCTGACACTCAGGGCGCAGGGGCTTAGCAAAACAGGCGGGCCTCTTCTGCATCTCCTGCTGGCATTTGCGTAGTTTTTTTGTGGGATGGGAAAAGGAGGAAAGGAAGAGAAAATAACTGACGTACTCCCCTGGAGCTGCAGGCTGTGTGGTCAGATGACAGAGCGGTGGAGTATGAAGAAAAGAGTGAGTCTTTTCAAAGGACAACAAAGTTTCAGGGTATCCAGAGTGAACTGCATTTCCCCAGTTTCACATGTTGACTCCTGACCCTGACCCTGACCCTGACCCTGACCCTCACCCTAAACCTGACCCTCACCCTGACCCTGACCCTAAACCTGACCCTCACCCTCACCCTCACCCTCACCCTCACCCTGACCCTAAACCTGACCCTGACCCTGACCCTGACCCTAAACCTGACCCTCACCCTAAACCTGACCCTCACCCTCACCCTCACCCTCACCCTAAACCTGACCCTCACCCTCACCCTCACCCTCACCCTCACCCTGACCCTAAACCTGACCCTCACCCTCACCCTGACCCTGACCCTGACCCTAAACCTGACCCTGACCCTAAACCTGACCCTGACCCTAAACCTGACCCTAAATCTGACCCTGACTCCTGACCCCTGACCCCTGACCCCTGACCCCCAACCCCAACCCCAACCCCTAACCCTAAGCCCCAGACCTCTGGATGTGACCTTGTTTGGAAATGGGGTCCTTGCAGATGCAGTGAGCTCAGGTGAGATCATCCTGGAGCAGGGTGAGCTTGGTCCAGTGTGACTTGGGTGAGGTTATCTTGGAATAGGCTGAGTCCTGGTCCAGTGTGACTCCAGTGAGGTCATCCTAGAGCAGGCTGAGCCTTGGTCCACTGTGACTCTGGTGAGCTCATCCTAGAATAGGCTGAGCCCTGGTCCAGTGTGACTCGGGTGAGCTCATCCTGGAATAGGCTGAGCCCTGGCCCAGTGTGACTCGGATGAGCTCATCCCAGAGTAGGCTGATCTCTGGCCCAGTGTCTCGGGTGAGCTCACCTTAGAGCAGGCTGAGCCCTGGTCCAGTGTGACTTAGGTGAGGTATTCTAGAGCAGGCTGAGCCTTGGTCCAGTGTGATTTGGGTGAGCTCATCCTAGAATAGGCTGAGCCCTGGCCCAGTGTGACTCGGGTGAGCTCATCCCGGAATAGGCTGAGCCCTGGTCCAGTGTGACTCGGGTGAGCTCATCCCGGAATAGGCTGAGCCCTGGTCCAGTGTGACTCGGGTGAGCTCATCCCGGAATAGGCTGAGCCCTGGTCCAGTGTGACTCGGGTGAGCTCATCCTAGAATAGGCTGAGCCCTGGTCCAGTGTGACTCGGGTGAGCTCATCCCGGAATAGGCTGAGCCCTGGTCCAGTGTGACTCGGGTGAGCTTATCCCAGGATAGGCTGATCTCTGGTCCAGTGTCTCGGGTAAGCTCACCTTAGAGCAGGCTGAGCCTGGTCCACTGTGACTTAGGTGAGGTATTCTAGAGCAGGCTGAGCCCCAGTCCAGTGTGGTGACTTGTATCCTTATCCAGGAGATCAGGAACCCTGGGATGCTGGGGAGAGGCCGGGGCAGGCCCTTCTCTAGTCCTCCTCTAGCCCTCCAGAGGAAGCATGGCCCGGCTGATGCCTCCAGGCCTGTGGCCGATACTGGTAGTTGTTCAAGCTGTGTCTGTGGTGCCCTGTGATGGCCACCAAGCCCACTCCTGTCAGGTCAGCACCTGCCTGTGGAGCCTCTGGTTCACTGTGGGGCTCCTGAGCTGAGCCTGAAGGACCCTGGGGTCTGAACAGCAAAAACTCACTGAGATCTCCACACAGAACACAACAGGCTCAGCACCTGCTGTCTCCCCGTCTAGTGTTAATCATGCGTCCACCCACAGAAGACCCTCAGCCATGGTGACACTTCTTAGAGCACTTTGGGCCTGGCTGGGGCTGGAGGGAGAGTTTGCTGATCAAGGCTGTGGGGTCTGCACAGGCGGGGTCAGCCAGCACCTGCAGTTGATGTCCTAGGAGGTCAGGGCTGGGCCCGGGGGAGCCATTGACCCTGGTGGGCGAGCGACAGCTGCAGTGTTTCCCTCCTGGCCACAAGACACCTTTGAGGTCTCTCCTGCGCACAGAAGCTCGCAAGCAGGCACGCAATGGGTTCAAAGCCTTTATTGGGTCAGGGCTTGCTCCAGAGCTCAGGGGCCAGGTAGGTCAGGAGCCTTGGGATGGCTGCAGGGGGAGGGAGGCCGGGCAGCCTGCGGAGGGCCTGGGGAGACCTGGGGCTGGGCGGGGGCCGGGGCTACGGGGACCCCGTGGGAGGAGCTGGAGAGGTGCAGGCCCAGGGCGTCGTCCGAGTGAGCAGCGGTGCTGGCCGTGTGGGACCCGGGCCCGCTTAGCACCATGGACGGGGTGGGCTCACGACCCTCGACTGCGGGGCCCGGGCGGCGGCGCTAGCAGATCCAGCGGATGAAGCGGTCGAAGAAGCCGGGTTGCGCCAGGCTGTCATAGTCCTTCTCGTGGAACACGGCGGCGCGGTCACCCAGGCTGAGCGTGGTGAGCACGTCCATGTCCACGTCGCTGCCCAAGGCCAGCACGGTGGGTACCACGTTCTGCTTGCGCATGGAGTGCGCCGACTCGTGCAGACTGTCGTTGCCCGTGACGCCGTCCGTGAGGAACACGAAGGACAGCTCTGCGTGCCTCCGGGCCCCGCCACGCGGGCTGCGCACGATGGCATTGATGGCGTGCACCACGCCTGCGCCCACGTGCGAGAAGGAGTTCAGGTATTGTGTGGTCTCCAGCGCCTCGTGGATGGCCGTGAGGTTGTGGCTCAGCGGGAAGGCCACCTGCTGCTCGCCGGGGCCACCAAACTGCAGCAGCGCCACGCGTGCGTTGAGAGGGTCGTCGTCCCTCCGGGCCAGCGTCAGCCGCCGCGCCACCTGCTCCACGAAGCGCCGGGCCTTGTGGAAGTTCTGCTCACCCAGCCGCTCGGAGCCGTCCAGCAGGAAGACGATGTCCACGGGCCGCTGCGTGCACTGTGCCACGGACAGCTCTGTGGGGAGACGCAGGTGCGGGCTGGGCGGAGGGGAGGTGGGCAGGACCGGGCAGGTGCCAGCCCCGCACCTGTGCCCTTCCATTCGCACCCTGCCTGCAACCTCACAGACCACTGGGCTCTGCGGGGGCGTTTCTGCAGGGCAGCCCTGGGTGTGGGTCCTTAGCCCAAGACACTTTCAGGCGGCACTGCTGGGAGCCGCCATCTCCTCTGCTGGTGCTCCCAGGCCTGAGACCCTGACACAGGCCCCAGGCCCTGTCCACCTGCTGAGCACCATCCCTGCACAGGCTGCCCTCCTGGGAGGGAAGGGGCCCAAAGCATCCTTTCATGGCTCAAGAATTTGCTGCCCACAAAAGGGCCACTGTCTGTGTAGTGTGGGAGGTACTTAAGGAGGACCCTGGCTCTGACACCCCCAGCCTGACCCCTCAATCGCTGGGTCCCAGAGCTGCTCAGAACACCTAGAGCTGGCTGGGCCACGTCCCTCCCGGAAAGACCAGGAGCCCCTGACTCTTCTGATTGGCCATGGTGGGGAGCAGTGGGCACAGGGGCAGCCAGACCTTCTGTGGCAGCCCAGGTGGGTTCTGCCCTATGACTCTGTTACCAAGTGGGGCCCCCACCTGCCTGGGTGGTCACCAGCCCTGGGCATCGGGGACAGCTTGGGGGCCTGGCCATAGCCACAACCCAGGCCAGGCTGCCTACCACACGTGTGGGTGTCACGTGGGGCCAGAGACCACAGGACAGGACACGGACAGTCCTTGCGTGGACCTGGCCCTGTGGCCTCACCAAGACCTCAGCTCCTGGGATGGGGGAGGGGAGGGACAGAGCCAGTTTCCCCAAGGGTGTCTGCTTCTCAGCCCAACCCCTGGACGTCGTCACAGCTGGTACATGGACCCCCAGGAATGCACACAGAGGACCCTGACCCGAAACTCGGTTTCTGGGGGCCCTGGAGGTGCAACGGTCCAGCCCCGCAGGCAGTGAGCAAAGCTCTGAACACAGCAGGGTGACCTCACGCTGCACCGCAGCCTTCACAGAACGCTTGAGACATGGACGCCGTCTGAGCACGCACGAGCTGGCAGATGGGGTTCCCTCAGTGAGCTTATGAGTGACGCAGCTCATTCAGTGAAAGGAAGGGCAGCCTCCCTGTTAAGGCCACACCTAGGAACCGGCTTAAATGTCCAGAAACTCCTCAGGTACCGCTGGGCTTCCCAAACCCCCTCAAAACTAATAACATTTTCACTGCTGTCACCAAACATATGGAGACAGACATGCAAGGGGCAGCTGGTTTTGGGGGTCTCTGTCCATTCATCAGTGTCTGTGGGGCCTGGAGGAGACGGGGAAGCTGTGGGGGCCGGCCAGGCACAGGGAGGCTGAGGCTGTTGGGATGTCTGTGGACTCTGCTCTCCTCCTCCTGTGGAGGATCCTTCATCCCCACAGTGGGAAGACCAGCCTGGCCTGCCCTGTGCAGTGGGTGTGGGGACGAGAACCTGGCCCTGAGAAATGGTCACAGCCGTGCCCGGCAGGAGCCCAGCCTGGATGAGGGCTCCTGCAGTCAGAACGTCGGGGTCAGCTCGCCGTGGGGGCCGCTCCCTTTGGATGGTGATCCCTGCCGCTCCCCAACATTGTGGACCCTGGGATTCTCTGCTCAGTCCTCTGAGGACCGCAGAGGTTGTGCCTGGTGGATGCTCCCCCGACTGTGCTTTTGGAGACCCAGAGGTTGGGCTGGAAGGGTGCAGACACCCCGGGATCAGGGCTGCTGGCAGGCAGCTGTGGCCATTCGCCCTACTGTGCATGACACCAGCCCAGATACGTCATGGTGCCAGGACTGCCAGCTTCCCCCAGGACTATCTGCTGCCCAACCGGAAGCCTTCACCTGCCACCAGGTGGGCCGTGAGCGCCCACGAGTCACCATGCACGGGATTAGTGCCCACACCCAGCGAGGCTCACCAGCCTCTGGGGCCTGTTTCCGAGGCTCCGCTGGAACCTGGTGCTGGAACATCCTCCAGCACCTGGGCAGCACCCTCCCTCAGCCCCATCCCAGACGCACGGCAGCCCAGCTGGGCCGCTAAGTAAGGGCCTCCAAAGACTTCCACACCCAAACCCTGGAGCCTGTGAGGGTGACCTGATGCAGCAAAGAAGGACTCTGCAGACGGGAGTGAGTTAAGGGTCTTGCGAGGTCATTCTGGACTTGGGGTGGGCCTTAAATTCAATGACCAGGGTTCTTATAAAGAGAGCGGCCACAGGAAGACGGAGGAGAGACTGGAAGATGCAGCCGCAGCAAGGGACACGGTGGCCACCAGCATGGGAAGAGGCTGGGAGCTGCCCCAGAGCCCCTGGAAGGACTGTAGCCCCGCTGACCCCGATTCCAGATCTCTGGCCTCCACTGAGAGCCAGCCTGTCGGGGGCAGCCCTGGGAAGCTAGTGTGGCAGGGAGGGCCCAGCCCGGCTGGGCGGGTGCCCGGGCTTTAGCAGAGGGCCAGCGCGGTCTCGGGGTCCCCCACGATGTCCCTGTGCACCAGCTTAAAGGTGTCAATGAACAGCTCCATCCAGTCCTGCCGCTCTACCCCGGTGGCGAACTTGGCCCGCTCGGCGGTGTAGACCAGCACGGCCACCAGCTGGGAGTAGGCGGCCGGGTCCTGCGTGAGCTCCGTGGCGTTTAGCAACTGTTGGATCAGGGGAATGGTCCTGGGGAAGGTGGCGTCCGGCCCCTCTTCCGTGCGGAGGAAGGTGACCGGGGGCTCGCCGCCAGGCCACGGTGCATCTGCAAGGGAGCGTCCAGAGAAGACTGTAAGGCCTGCGGTGGGCGTCGGCCTAGAGCTCCTCCTCGGGCAGCCGCTCAGCGAGGCCAGAGTGAAGAGCGGCATTTGGGCTGGCGAGTCGGTAGAGGAAATGCAGGTGGAGCGGGTGTGTGGCTCGGCCTTGGCAGGAGGCGTGGGGGCAGTGAGCACAGGGACAGGAAGCTGGCAGGGAGCTAGGAGACCCGCACGGTGGCACCTTTGGGGGACACCACGGACCCCGAGAAAACCTTTCAGCACAAAACAGCTCCGTCCAAACCTGTGCCGGAGACAGGCCAAACTCCAGTAGGGCTTCCAGTGCCGCAGGCCCGTCGCCAGGAAGACCCCAGCCACCCCTCAAGAGCCCGCCTGAGAAAGCTTGCGGTGGTAAACCCTTCCTCAGCCTCTCTGGGATGTGAGTCCTCTACACCCAGAACTGTCTTCCCCTGAGCAGACCTGGCCTCTGCAACGTCTCTGCCTTTTCTTTCCACCGACTGGAGCTCAGGTTACGCTGTGGCCCCTATGCAGCTCTTATCGCTGATTGCGCCCTGCCCTGACTGCCTTCAGCTGCGTCTGGTTTGTTTCTCCAGCACCCTCTGGTCCCCACGCAACTGAGAACTCCACAGGCCTGCTGCAGGCCCAGGGTGGCTGGGCTTTGGGGTGGACAGGGCTGTCTGGAGAAGGCCAGGGCCAGGCCACAGCCAGTGGTGTCCACCCAGTGCCCAGGAGGGCCGAGGAGGATGCCTGGCCGTGTGGGCTGGTGAAAGCCGATTTAACACTGTCCCTGCTGCATCTCCTGGAGCCACAAGGTCGAGTTCACTTTGAAATTGGAAACAGCTGGGAAGGAGGATGAGCTCTGAGTGTCGGGGATGAGGTGTCAGGGCGGCCGAGAGGAGGGGAGGGGTTCTGCCAGGGCTGCTCCCACTCACTGTCAGGTCCTGGAGGCCTCAGAAGAGGCCAGAGCTTCAAGGGCCTCCGTGTCCTCCCTGGCTGCTTTCCCTGTGGTGCTCTGGTGGCCTGAGTGACCCACTCCCAGGAGGGAGAATGGGCTCACTCCATGTCACCGTCTGGGGAGGAGCCACCACAGGACCCTACGAGGCCCACGTCACCCTGAGGCCAGAACCAGAGAGATCACGAGAAAAGAAAAGTGCAGGCTGATGTCGCCGATAAGCGCAAACCCTCAGGCAGGCATCAGCGAATCAGGGCCCACGTGCATAAACAGGGCCACACACCACGGCCAGGTGGGTTTATCCCGGGCACGCAGGGCTGGCTCAACACTGGAAATTCAATGACGCTCAACGGGCTAACTAACTCCCAACTACAATGATAGGCTAAAGAGGAAAGGTCACGTGACATCCACAGACGCAGCACCCACCCACTCACGATAGAACCTGGAGTGGAGGGGAAGCCATAGCGGCCACTCACACTGGACCCAGAGTGGAGAGGAAGGCCCCCCACCTGATAGCAAAGCACCCACAGTGACCATCGCCATGTCGCCCATCATGGGGTCCCGAGACTTCCCTGCCCCATCAGGAACGAGGGGGTGGGTGGAGGAGCCAAGGTCTGGTTCCTGCCCTCAGGGTCCAGGTGCCCCTGCTGCTGATGTGGACCCTGGGGGAGGACGCCTGCACCTTGGCGGCAGAAGCACAGCCCACTGTTGTGGGGCCAGAGGCTGCCCGCCTGCTGAAGGGCAGCCAGACCCAGGTGCAAGCCCTAGGTTCTCTGTCGCAGCACGTATGGGGAACCTCGGCTCTGAGTCCACGGCTCCTCCCCTGGGGCAGCCTCAGGGCCTGTGAATGTGCTCAGTGGCCCAGCTCACCCACCGGGAGCTCCCCATGGAACGCCCGAACGCACACCGCGACCCGCGTGCTGAGGAAGCGCTGACTTCGTACCGCAGACCCTGAGGTTTCCTCCCTGTGGTCCTCCAGGTCGGACCCTCCCACCCTGTCTCCATGGCATCCCTACCCTCACACTCCTGGAGGGGACGGCTCACTGAGGGGGACTCAGCTCCTAACGCCCCCGGGGACCTCCTGTGGGCCCAGGTACGGTGCAGCAGTGCACCATGGGGGCAGCACCACGTCCAGCAGAGCCTGGACGGCACCCCCAGCTCCAGCTTCACACCCACGTGGGCCACATCCGGGACATGGGCTCCCCCACTCCCAGAGATGTGAGAGCCGCAGCTGCAGCTCCGAGGCAGGCCAGGGTTGGAGCAAGACCTGCTGGTGCTGGGGGGTGTCAGTGCTTCCACCCCGGGATGGTTTCACTCACTGAATCCAGGGCTTCCTCCGAGTGGCACATGCACGGCCAGCCCATGGGAGCTGGGCGGCAGCTGAGGGAGACTGCAAGGCCCATGGTGGGCCTTCAAGACCAGTGGCCACATGCCGAGCACAGCGCCAGGCTAGCAGCACCCACCTCATGGCCTCGTGATGCTGTTCCTGCGTTCCTGGGAGCCTGCCTTCCCCAAGCCCCTCCTCCCCTGTGCTGCCATCCTGGGGCCATCTCCCTAAGGAGCAGCCTCCGCAGTGGCTCCGCCGCCCCCCGGGTCCCTGCACGGCCCCTCCCCCAGCCCGGCCCTCGAGGAGGAAGGACACCAGGGCTGCTTTGCTAGTCTGGGGTGGTGGCTCAGGGTGCCCTGCATTACCTGTTTGGCAGGGAAGGTCTGGGCACACGATCTGAGGGTCTGGAAGAGAGGAGAGAGGCCGGGCCAGGCCAGGGTCAGTCCCTAGCGAACCCTCAGCGGCCGTTCACTGATCTGCCTAGACAGGCTCAGGGTGCAGCTGGCCTCTGCCCTGCAGCCCCGAGAGGGCCCGACCCCTTCCCACCCACAGCCCAAGATCCTGGGCTGCACATTCATCCCTCAGGTGAGGGGTGTCCCTGGGGCTCACGCTAGACAGCGGCTGGGGCCTGCTGCTCCTCGGCCGACTGCCCCGCGCCCACACGCTCACCCGGGCAGAGGACGTCCTCCATGTCATCGATGAACTTCTCAGCGACCAGGTCGGAGAACAGCGTCATGTTGCGCACCTGCTGTGGCTTGTCGCAGGCGATGGAGTAGAGGTTTTCACTCTCGTGCTTCTCGTGGAACATGTCCCCGATGCCGATGGCCGTCACTGTGACGTCGCGGTCGCACAGCGCCCGCAAGTTGAGGTCATCGTCCCGAGGGTCGTGGCGCCCGTCCGTGATGACCACCGCAAACACACGTGTCTTCTGGCGCCGGCTCTCCTTGATGAGGCGGTCGTAGGCAAACTTGAGGGCTGAGGGTGTCCAGGTGCCGCCCGCAATCCACTCGAGGTTCTTGACAGCCTCCTTGAAGCTCGACAGGGAGTCGATACGTTCGTCGTCCAGCTGGATGGCCTCAAAGGTGCCCTCGTGGCTGTACTGCACCACGCCCACACGCGTCCCTGCAAGCCGCACGCGTGAGGTCGTTGCCAGAGGCCTCGGGGTCTGGGGCATCCCCAGCCATGCAGAGGCCCTCGTTGGAGGGACGCGTCTGGACTTCTCCCATCTCATCGCCTCCCACGCCCCGCCCGGCCCCCCGCAATGCTGCACCCGCCCCTGCCCCGCTGACCTGTCTCGGACTTGGGGTCCTTAGCGATGGCACCCAGCCTGTTGACCACGTTGATGACGAAGTTCTTCTCCAGTGTGAAGTTGGTGTACCCAATGCTCTCGGAGCTGTCGATGACGAAGACCACGTCCAGGGCGCCACAGCGCTTCTCACAGTCTGGGGGGGTGGCAGGGTCATCGGGGGGTACCGGGGAGACCTCAGACCCTAGGGTCACGTGCACATGCAGGACCCAGCGATGACCCAGCCCTGCTGCACTCCCGCCCTCCACCCGGTGCATGGGCCCCGACCCTGCCGTGGGCAGTGCCTCACCGCAGCACCCGCAGGTCTCCCTCACGTAGGTCATGACGTCACACTCCTGCAATGCACACGGCAGGCAGGGTAGTCCCCCCGGGGCCCCAGAAGAGTTTCCACAGCAAGGTCCTGGCCTGGGGGTCCCGGGACATTCCAGCCCACGTGTGGAGGCAGCCATGCGGGGAGGCTGGCGGGTCCTGTCCCTACCAACCTCGCTGCCACCCTCCTCCCCCCACCAACCTTGCCCTGTGACCTTCCCCAACCAAGCTTGCTCTCTGACCTTGCCCTCTGACCTCCTCCACTGATCTTGCTCTCTGACCGTGCCAGCTGACCTTCCCCCACCCCTGCTGCTCTTGGTGTCTAGTTTTGGCAGGAGAAGGACACTGGTTCTGCCCCATGTGACACCTACCGTGAGACCGGGGTCTCCAGGGGGGCCGGGCTCACCCTGGGGAAGGAAGGATGAGGCTGAGACTCTGGGGCCAAGGCTGGGTGGCTGAGTCTCTCCCAGGCCACTGCCCACTGATACGTGGGTCCACCGTGGGCAGAACCACGAGGCTTGGGTGTGTGTTGGCCTGGCAGGTTGGGGGGAGGGCATGGGGACTGGCCACCAACCTACCTCGGGTCCTGGGACTCCTCTTGGCCCCCGAGGGCCTGGCTCACCAGGGGGACCAGGATCCGCCTGAGAAGGAACAAGAACAGGTGGGCTTCAGTGGCCCCAGGGACAGTCCCTGCACACAGCAGGGCCCCCTGTGCTGTCCCCAACCACGGGTCCTCCCTTGGCGGGGGGGGGGGCTAACAGGTGCAAGGAGTAAGACAAGGCTGTGCCTCCTCCTTCCCTATGCTGGCACCAGAGCTAGAAAGGCCATGAGTGGCCACCGTCAGAGCCTGGCCCACCAGAGGGGTAGGGGCCTGGCAGAGCTGGGTGTCCCAGAAATAGCAGCCAAAACAGCTCATTCCAATCCATGGGTATTCCACCCCATTATCATGTACCCACCAACTCCACGCCCACCCATCCACCCATTCGCCCATTCGCCCAATCACCCATCCATCTATCCACCCAGCCACCCACTAACCCATCCATCCATCCACCCAGTCACCCATCCATCATCCATCCACCCAGCCACCCACTAACCCATCCATTCATCCACCCATCCTCTGTCCACCCACCCATCTATCTATCCACTCACTTACCCATCTATCCATCCACCCACCCACTCACCTGTCCGTCCATCCTCTACCCACCCACCCATTCATCCATCGGTCCATCCGTTCACTCATCCATCCACCCACTGTCCGTCTGTCCATCCACTCATTCACCTAACCATCCATCCACCCACCTACCCATCCCCCCACTCACTCACATACCCATCTATCCACTCATCCACCCATCACCTACCCAACCATCCATCCTCTATCCACCCACCCATCCATCTATCCACTGACTCACCCATCCATCCATCTGCCAACCCACTAACTCATTCATCCATCCATCCTTTATGCACCCATCCATTCATCCACCCACCCACTAACCCATCCATACATACACCCACTCACCCATCCATCCCCCCACTCATCCATTCAGCCATCCATCATCTAACCACACACTCGCCCACCCACCCATCCATCTACCCACCTACCCACCTACTCACCCATACATCTACTCATTCACCCATGTATCCACTTATCCATCCACCCACCCACTCATCCAGCAATCCATCCATTCATCCATCTTCTATCCACCCACTCTTCTATTCACTCATCCATCCATCACCCATCCTCCCATCCATCCATTTGCCCACCCCCATCCACTTGCCCATCCATCCATCGTTATCCATCCCTTGTTTTGTGCTCAGTTCCAGACCAACCTGCAGCCCTGGTTAAACCCTTGGCCAGGCTAGGGATTTGGAGGCACAGAGCACCTTCTGGGGGATAACTGTGGGGAGGACATTGGGGAGGGAACCCTTGGGGAATGCTGTGTGTAGGAACTCTGAGGGGGATGCTATGTGGAGGCATCTTTTGGGGGAGGGGACTCTGGAGGGGATGCTATGTTGGGGTCGCTGGGGAGGGGACCCTGGTGGGGGATGCTGTAGTGGGGATGCTGGGAGGGGACTCTGGGGGGATGTTGTGGAGGGGTCACTAGGGAGGGGACCCTTGTGGGGGATGCTGTGGGGGGGATGTTGGGGGGTCACTGGGGAGGGGACGCTGGAAGGGAGGCTGGGTTGAGGGAGGGGGCCCCTGAGCCAGCCGTTCCCTTTAGGAAGGTGGGGGTGGTGCTCATGGCTGGGGCCAAGCTGCCTGGCGTTCTCCTGTACTCATAGATGCACACGCTCAGCCTCAGGGCCCCTCCCTGCCTCTGCCCAGCTGCTGTGGGCTTCGGGACGGTGACACTCACAGGCTCTCCTTTCTCTCCTTTCCTCCCAGGTTCTCCTTTCAAGCCAAAGTCGCCTCGGCCTCCCTGTGACAGGGAACACATGTTAGCCTGGGACAGAGGAGCTGTCTCTACCAGGGACACCAGTGAGATTTTTATGTGGAAAAATCGATCTGGCATTTTGGGGTCCTTTAAACGGGAGCATCTATGTGGTTTTTTTGCAAAGCCTGAACTTTGGTTGAAAAGGGACCAGCCAGTGGCTGACAGCTCCCCCAGAGCTCAGCATAGGTGACATGGCTGGGCCTTGGGGAGCCAGGACCATCTCAAGACAGGGGTGGTCCTGTCAGTGACGGTGGGCATTGTGTTCCCAGCAATTGGGCGTGCAGACCCCCACCCTGGGTGGGCACAGGTGGCCAGGACCCACACATACCTCGGGGCCGCGTGGGCCGGGCTCGCCTTTTTCTCCCTGTGAAGCAAACAGAAGCCAGGGTGACTCAGCCTCAGATCCCAGTGCTCCTTCCTCCCTCTGGGCAGCTTTCTGCAGCCCCGTTTCCCTCCCTCGCTCATTCACACTCTGGGTGAGGCCACTGTGCTGCGTTCTGAGCTGTGCTCTTTTCCTGATGCTGGGCTGGACCTATCCTTCACTGAGTCACCCGAAGCCTTCTCACCACTCTGTCCCGCAGGAGGGACCTCACACTTTCTTCTGCACAGAGGAGGCCTTGAGGGAACTACTAGGAATCTTCAGGGCCCTTGGGACAATGTCCACCCACTCCTGGGAGCTGCCATCCCAGGCTGTGACTCACGGGTGCTCCTCGGGGTCCTGGGTAGCTGAATCCAGGCCTGCCGGGGTCTCCCTGGAGGAGGACGTTGAGTCGGTCAGCATGGTCATAGGACGGGGTGGGGCTGGGGGGCTGTGCTCAACAGGGCGCAAGGTGCACACTGGGGTGGAAGTGGGCTAGGGGTGCCGTCGAGTTCTGGCTGTGAGCAGAGGCCTGGCAGGGCCAACCTCGCCCTGTCCACCTCCAGTGGGGGCTGGACGTGCCTAGAGACCCGAAGCCTGCCCACACGCGGGGAGGACCCTACTCAGGCCACGTAGCTGCCCTCAGGCCCTGCCTCAGGAAGGATGTGCCATGCACACCCAAGGGTCACTGCTGAAGAGGAGAGCCAGGGGGGCTTCCTGGACCCCGGAGGCATCCCCTCACTCCAGAGCTGAGAACAGGAGGCACAGGCCCGTCCTGAGGCACGTCTGCCGGCAACAGGGTCCCCCAGGCCGGCCCCCTGTCCTGCTCCTCAGGCAGCTGCCCCGAACCCCTAATACGTCCTGCTGGGGGAGGGGCACGTACCTTGGGGCCTGGCTGTCCTGAGTCTCCACGGGGTCCTGCATCACCGGGGTCTCCCCGAGATCCCTGAGGGCAGGAGAGAAATTCAGAAGTCAGCACAGGCAGGGACTGGCCATGCCCAGGGGTCACCTGACATGCCCCGTCCAGCCCTGACCACCAGGCCACATGGCCGCAGCTCCTCCTGCTGCCTGTGGGGGCCGTGGACCTCTGTCTTGAGGGTCCCAGCTCCTCCTTTCCCTGTGGCCCATCCAGGACCTCAGGCCCACTGCCTTGCCCCTGACTCCACAACCTGGGTCCTTCAGGGCAGGATGGGGGGCTGGGGCTGAGGGTGGGTATGAGGTACTCGGGGTCTAGGGGAGCAGGTCCTGGCTTCTGAGGCCAGGCTCTGCTGCCTGGGTTTGCTATGGGGACAGTGGCTAGCTCCAGGCTGTCCCCACATGGATAGGGGAGACCCACCCGTGGGGTCAGAGGGCACCGGCCTCCTGCACTGACACTGACCTGCTTTCCGGGCTCCCCAAGAGCTCCCTGGGGGCCTCTGGGTCCAGGCAAGCCTCGGTCTCCCTGGAAGAAAGGGGAGGAATTTGGGGTTCTCTTGACTGACAGCAGCACCCTGGAGTCCCCAGTATCAATCCTGTGGACACTGCAGGGCCTCGGGGGTAAGACGGGTCTGGCCCCGGCCCCTATGACCCTCCCCGGAGGCTGTGGCTCCACTTGACCTTCAGCCCTGAGCACACTGAGTGGAGTAGGCTGGGTTCTGGGTGTAGCCCCTGCCTAAGCACCCCTATCTTGGGTTGCAGCCCTCACCTGGGTCCCCTACTTTGGGGTGCAGCCCTTGCCTTGGTCCCTTACCTTGGGGTGCAGCACCCGCCTGGGTCCCCTACCTTGAGGTATAGCCCTCACCTGGGCCCCCCTTACCTTGGGGTGCAGCACCCACCCGGGTCCCCTACCTTGGGGTGCAGTCCCGGCCACCCTACCTTGGGGTGCAGCCCCCCTGCACCCCCTCAGATCCCCTACCTTGGGGTGCGGCCCACCCTGCTCCCCTACCTTGGCTCCTTTGTTGCCAACCTCTCCAGCCAGGCCGCGGGGCCCCTCAGGGCCAGGGTCCCCCTGTGGGAAGGGAAGGGAGGCCCCACGGGTCTCAGCTGAGGCCTCCGGCCTGGGTCCCATGTGAGAGGCGGGTGTGGCCGGGGGTTGGGGAAGGGGGCCTGGGAGGAAGAACCCCGTCTGTCCCGGGGGACCTGCAACAGTCGCCTGTTTCACCCATAGCTCCTTCCCGGTGCCTGTAGCTGCCGCTCTGAGCACGGTGTCTCTCGGTCCCCCTGAGGCCACCCACACGTGGGTAGGACCTCGTCCACTTCCTGGGAGGAAGCCCCTTCACCTGATGTCAAGGGGAGCTGGTGGCCGGGGTTTTACCACACAGCCCTTCAGCATCACCCCTGAGGTCACGTGGGTGAGCAATGCCTCAGTGGGCTGGGGGTAAGAGGTGCCTCAGTGGGGGCCGGGGGGTGTGAGTGGTGCCTCAGTGGGCCGGGGGTGAATGGTGCCTGCACAGCTGTGCGGGGTGTGCCTGGGTGGGTAGTGGAGCTTCCTCAGCAGAGAATGGGGTGTGGGGATCTCAGGGCTGCATTCCCAGACTCTGCAGAGAGTGAACTCTGGAGAGTGAGGCCCTGGGGTTCTGTTGTTCTCTGGGAGGAATGGGGTTGGGGCCCTCGTCAGCAGGGCCCATGGGCACCACAGTGAGACCCTGGGCTGCCTCCACACGAGGACTCACCTTCTCCCCCTTGGGGCCATCGCTGCCTGGGCTGCCCTTGGTGCCGGGGTCTCCCCTGCGCCCCTGCAGAGAACAGGCGTGTGGGTGAGGGAGGGGGCTGAGTCCAAGCCCAGAGCCTGTGGAGGGTGGGGGCTGTGCCGGGGCCGATGCTCCTTCTCTACAGGAGGGCTCTGGCTTTGGGACCTGGGACCTCGATCCCCAGGCTCCTTCCCAACAGCCTCAGCCTGCGCCAGTGGCTCTGCTGCCAGCCCTCGTCCCTCTGCTGCGTCGGTCCCGCCCATGCCGAGGATTTAGGAATGATCTGGGGAGGCTCCAGGTGGAGTTGGATGTCTGGTGAGTGGCGTTTTAGGTGATGGGCTGGGGCCTGGTGGGGACCTGGTGCTGTCCAGTCACTGCGGTCACTCCCAGGCAGGCCCCATGCTCAGACAGAGTCCCCTTGGAGTGGTCAGCACTGGGACGGGCCCTGCTCAGCCCTCACAGGATGCCCTGGGCAGCTGGTGCTGGGTTTAGGGAACACCATGGAGGACCTGCCTGGGCTTTACCTCTAAGTCCAGCTCTGGGGGGTCCCGTGGGGTGGTCCGGGTCCACTTCTTGGGAGGATGGGGGCCTGGCTGTGCCTTGCCAGCAGGGGATCCTGCCTACAGCCCAGGTGCCCTTCCCCCATGGTCCTCCTCAAGCTGCAAGGAGGATGCCCAGAGCGGGGCCCTGAGGCAGGGGCAGGAGGGACTCACCGGCTCGCCTTTGGGTCCGCGGGGCCCAGGCCCGCCCTTGGCTCCTTTCACACCAGGACTTCCTGGGGCTCCACTGTTGCCTTGATACCCCTGAAGAAGGAGAGGACAGCACAGTCACCCAGAGGCAGGGGCCCTGAGGCATGGTCACGCCTGTGCGGTGTGTGGTGTGGAGCCCCTATTATCTTCCAGCGGAATCTGCTTGCCAGGCACATGGGGGCCCTGCAGGGTCCCCTGGAACTTGTTCAGCCTCGTGAGGAGGGCACAGGTCAGAGGGGCTGGTGGCTCAGGGCACATGGCCTGTTCTTCCTGTCCCTCCCCGTGTCCCCAGAGCCCAATGCGGCACCATGGTGACAGCAGAGATGGTGGCCAGCGTGACTGTTCATCTGGGCCATGGGCGTGAGTGTGGCCAGCTCAGCTGCAGGCGAAGAGGCAGAGGGGCTCACCTTGCTTCCCTTGGCCCCGATTTCTCCCGGGGGCCCTCTGCGTCCTGGGCGGCCAGGGTCCCCCTGGAAGGGTTTGCAGAATCAGCCTCACGTCTTTTGGCAGGGGAAGGGGGGTGCAGGATGCCCGCTGCGGGGGCAGGACCCACGGTCGGGCTTGGGACTGCACCTCCCTGATGTCCACGGGGCACCTGGGATGCCAGATGCTGGCTGGGGGCTGCTGGAACCTCCGTGCCAGCTGAGGGCAGAGTGTGTGTCACGGGCAGGACGCCTGTGCATCTGCTCAGAGGACTCAGCCAGACTTGGGCTTGGGCTGAGGGAAGGTGGACAGAAAGTGGGAAGCCCTAAGTCCAAGCTCCCAGAAAAAAGCCCTTGGGGATCCTGGGGCCGCCAGGGGCGGGGCGACACTGCAGGCGGCCCAGGAGGGCAGAGCCCCTGGGGCACCAACGTTCCCATGGGGAGCTCCAGGAGGTGTGGGTGGGGCTCCCTGGGGCTCCACCTGGGAGGAGGTGGGTTTGTTGCCGAGGCCTCGGTGAGCAGCGGCGGGGCCGCCCAAGCCCTGGTTAGAAGCTGATGAAGCAACGGGCAGGGCACCCTCCACCACATCCCACGGCCATTGGCTCCTCACTGACCAGTGTTTCCAGAAAGGCCCTCTCTGCTCAGCTTCTCAGCTGGGGCTGCCTCCAGGAGGCCCCTGGAAGCTGGTGACCCCGCCTGCCCCGTACCCTGACAAGGCCACTTACCTTGCCGCCTTGGTCTCCTCGCTCCCCTGGACTCCCTGCTTCCCCCGGGTAACCGTCGGGGCCCTGAGAGAGGAGTGAGAGGTGGAGCTCGGCACACGGCGGGTGGGGTTCTCCCCATGAGCCAGGGCCCAAGTGCTCCATTGTCCCAGCCCGGGACGCACCTCCCACCCTCACTGTGAGGCCCAGGCTCAGTGACCAAGAGGCCAGGCCTGGATCTGCTGCTCAGGGAAATGGAGCTGTCCAGTGACACCGAAGTTTGGGATGCATCAGGTCTCCAGGCCACGGGGATCCGCCAGGAGCTCCCAGGGGGAGTTCCTCACATGACTCCGACCCGGCAGAATGCTGGGCTGGGGCTGCTGGGCTGGGGCTGCTGGGCTGCCGGGAGAACCCACGCTCCCACTGCAGCAGCAACTACCCTCCCACCCGGTCAGGCACCCACACCCCCTGGGCCGAGGCTGAAGGAGGGGTGCAAACGGCCCTTACCCGGTTTCCAGGGTCTCCCTTGCAGCCAGGAGGTCCGATGCGCCCCAGCTTGCCCTGAAGGAGAAGGGGGCAGGAGGAGTCTCAGGGCGGGGTTCTGGGGTCCATGTGTGCCAACGACCAAGACACAGCCCACCCGGTTCTGCCCCGCAGGGCTGCAGCGCTCTCCTCCTGGCACACGGGTGCCCACATGAGGCCACGGCTGCTGTGGAGCTGTCTCCGGGGAGGCAGAGTGGCCGTTGTGCAGGAACAGGCCATCCCTGGCTGCCTCCCAGAGGCCCTGAGGGCAGAGCTCCCTGGGCACAGAGGATGTTCCCACGGGGAGCCATGGAAGGAGTGGGTGGGGCTGTCCTGTGGTTTGACCTGGGAGTGGGTAGGCTTGTTGCTGGCCTCTGTGTGCAGCTGTGGAGCTGCCCCAAGCCGGGATGTGCAGCCATGAATTAGATGCAGGCTGGTGAAGCCCTGGGTGGGGCAGTGGGATGTGGCAGGAGCTGAAGTTCGTGTGTGTGTGTGTGTGTGTGTGTGTGTGTATGCGTGTGTACACATGTGTAAGCTGACAGATCAGGCTGGATCTGGGGGCCCTGCAGAGGCTGGGATGCCTCTGTGAGACCAGTCCAGCTGTGAGCCCGAGGCTCCCTCTACCTTCTGTCCATCGGTCCCGTTCTTGCCAGCCAGGCCAGGGGCCCCCTGAAGAGAGAAGGAAGAGGGAACTCCATTAGCCCCGGTCCTTCTGCCCTGAGCAGCAGGAAGGAGGGGCTCTGCCTACCCAGCCAGCCTACCTTGCGACCGTCGGCTCCAAATTCACCCTGTGTAGGAGGAAAGCCGGCGCAGTGAGCTCGGTGCCTCAAAGCATCATGGGCACTGCTGCCTCTGGGGGGCAAAGCCCTTGGGCCAAACTCAAGGCCACAGGACCCCCCAGGAGCCCCCAAAGCCACCACTGAGAAAAGACCAGGCCGGTGCCCCAGGAGCAGTGACAGGCTGCGGCGGACGCCAAGAGGTGGGTCTGGGCCGAGGCTGGCGCAGGTCTGAGGTCTGTCAGGGCAAGAGCCTCACCTTCTCTCCTTTGAAGCCAGGAACGCCCTGGGGGCAGGAGGAGAGAGGGGCATTAGTGAGGAGCTCTGCAGAGACACAGGCAGGGAAGGGCCAGCCCTGCAGGCTGAGGGGAGTGCTCGGTGGGCCGCTGGCATCTAGTGTTCTCGACAAACAGTCTGCGGAGGAGGCTGAGCCCTGGGTCGGGCTGGAGGCTGGGTTTTGGGACGGCCATCAAGTTATCGAGGTGCTTCTGTTCCTTGGTAACTGGGGGGAGGGTCGTAGAGGCTGAGGCCGAGGCTGGGCTGGGGGGAGCCTGCCTGGCAGTGCTGGGGCCTCAGGGTGGAGCCAAGCCCCTGGCCGAGGTCACTCACCTTGGGTCCTGGGAATCCAATGGGGCCTTCGATGCCCGGGTCTCCCTGTGAAGGACAACGCAGCAGTGTGAGCCCAGCCCTGGGGCGCTGGGCTGCAGGCGGGGCGGGCGTGGGGCAAGGACACTCACCTGTCTTCCCTTCTGGCCAGGCTCTCCCGGCTCACCCATGTTGCCCTTGGCACCCTAAAAGCAGAGAAAAGAGTACATCGAGGCAGGGTAGGGTGGGCGGTAGGCAGCTGGGGACCCTGCCACAGCTCCTCTGAGAGGTGACACAGCAGAGGTTACTGATTCCCCTGCCCAAGTGGAGAAGTCTTGGTGTCAGCTGCTCCCCAAAGGGCCAGCCTCTGTCAGACAAGGGTTTGCTTTGACCCATTTCTCCCAGCTCTGAGGGAAGCTTCCCACAAAGCCACCTGCAAAATGGAGCCAGAAGAGACCCCTGGGGTGGGGGTGCCTGGCCCGTGGGGGTCCCTTCTGCACCCAGTAGCTGTGACTGTGGCCAACACTGGGCTCTGATTCTCCAGCGATGCCTGGGTCACCGTCACTACAAAGATTAATTCCTTTATCTAAGTAACTTTAGACAGATCAGGACTTCAGAACACCACATAAAGGTTACACTCTCTTGGAATTAAAATTTTAACCTATGATACAGAACTTTATTAAATAAATTCATCTATTTATTGATATGCTCCCAATTTAAGTGCAAAGAGGAGCAGAGGAAAGGGGAAGAATTAAGAGGTCAAAAGGAAGAAAAGGGAGGAAACTCAGGGCAGGGGATGAGGTGGGCAGAGGCTTCTGGAACATCACAGCTGTGCCCTGTCCTGGGCTCCGCTTGGCACCTTGCCACCCCTCAAACTCTAACCACAGTGATCCCTGTGGCAGCTTCCAGTGGCCCCCCCAACAGAACGGGTCACTGCACTGCTGTGTGCAGCCAAGGCTGCCCCAAGTGGCAAATTCATTCCCAGCTGTAGTAGGGTCGGCATTGCCACCAGGACTGGAGAAGCCAGGGAGGGAGATGGCAGGATTTGACCTGCAGCCTCGAGATGTCTCATCCTGGAGAAAGTACATCCAGATACCTACTGGTCTAGACAGCTGTTATCCAAATTTAGAAAAACACGAAGCTACGTAGCAGTAACATCCTCTATGATGGTCAATTCCTTATTTCATCTCCTTAGAAGCTACTTTCTCCTCCTATGCTTTTCTTTATAATTTTTAACAGATGTGAATTGTTGGAGTTTCACATACTCTGTTAGTGAGTTTTGGAAGGACTTTATTTGATGCACCTCTGTTAGGAAAATGCAGGGGATGTTCAAACCAGAAAATGCAGGGGACATTCAAACCAGGCTCCCTAAAACTGCTTATTTAGTAAGCCACAAAAGAGGTTCCTTCATATTAATGAGCAATCATATTATTAAGTGTAGTGCATCTCACATTTTACTTACTTGAATATGCTTGCTTACCAAAGTATTTTAATGGCATATCTCATTTTTTACAAGCTTCTGCTTTTCTCAATATACTATTTAAAAGGAATTAGACATATAGAGTTTTAGTTTCTCCAGGGACAGAAGTGTTGAGACAATTTGAGATACAGCTGGCCTTAAATGTGGCTTTCTTTTCTTTTTTTTTTTTTTTTGAGACAGAGTCTTACTCTGTTGCCCAGGCTGGAGTGCAGTGGCGTGATCTCTGCTCACTGCAACCTCCGCTTCCCAGGTTCAAGCGATTCTCCTGCCTCAGCCTCCCGAGTAGCTGGGACTACAGGCGCATGCCACTACGCCCGGCTAATTTTTGTATTTTTAGTAGAGACAGGGTTTCACCATGTTAGCCAGGATGGTCTCGATCTCCTGACGTTGTGATCCGCCCGCCTCGGCCTCCCAAAGTGCTGGGATTACAGGTATGAGCCACCACGCCCGGCCAAGTGTGGATTTCAAAACAAATCAGGGGCTTCCTGGTAGCGCAGACCCTGCAGGTAATCTGGGCATCTTACCTTCTGTCCACGGTAGCCCTTGGGGCCAGAGGGCCCAGGGATTTCCAGGCAGCTCACCTTGTAGCACTGAAACGAGGAAGCAGAGACAGAAGGTTGCATGGGTGGGACATTCCTCAGGTGGCAGGGCAGGGTCTCAGAACGTGTAGCCCACGACTCTCAGCAGGGGCCAAGGAGATGCTGAAATGCCCTGAGAACCTGGGCGGGCGTGAGGGAGCTGTGAGACATGGGGTGCTGTGAGGCTCTGCCCCCATCAGGGACAAGCCAAAGAGTTTGGCTCTCGGTCAGGTGTTCTAGGCAAGTTTAAAAAACCAAGCCTGGCTTAAGCCATGACAGAAAATAGAAGGGAAGAAAGGCCGGGTGCAGCTCACGCCTGGAATCCCAACATTTTGGTAGGCCGAGGCAGGGAGGACTGCTTGAGGCCAGGAGTTAGAGACCAGGCTGGGCAACATAGTGAGATCCCATCTCTACAAAAAAACAATACGAAAGCGATCCTCCCACCTCAGCCTCCCAAGTAGCTGGAACTACATGCGCACACCAGGTATGGTGGCAGGTGCCTGTAGTCCCAGCTACTTGGGAGGCTGAGGTGGGAGGATGGCTTGAGCCTCAGAGTTCAAGGCTGCAGTGAGCCGTGATCGTACCACTGCACTCCAGCCTAGGTGACAGAGAAAGACCCTGTCTCTAAAAAAACAAATATAAAAGAATAAATTTTACAAAAGGATGGAAGAGCAAGGGGCACTGGTGAGGGAGGCACCATTTGTACACGGCAATGAAACCACTGTTACTGAGCAGCGATTCTGAGGCAGGGCACGTTTTTGCAGGAAGCCTCACGGGGGAGATCTCAGATGCCTGCTCCCCTTCCTGAGAGCTGGAGCTGGGACACACAGGGAGGTGGGGATGTCATGGACCCCGATGATGTCAGTTCCTTCTCCCCTGACCTGCTGGGCTGGGCTCGGGCCTCGAGTCCAGGGTGGATGGATCCCACCTGCCCGGAGGCCAGACCCTCGACCTCTCCTTGTAACACGTGCTCTGTGGGTGACCCTAACGCTGACCCTCACGGGATCTAAACAGCCTAGCTTTGGCTGGGAGCCCTTTCTCCAGACTCCAAGGCCTCAGGTCCAACATGGAGCAGGTGACTCCCTCTCCTCTCATCTGTTCCAGCCTGGAGGCGCCAGGAGTCGGCAGCCTGGCGCGGTCATCTCTGCTGGGTCAGCTGCCGGCCAGCACTGGCAGGAAGGGAAGCGCCACTCACCTCTCCGTAGGCTTCGTGTTTCTGCAGAAAAGACAGACATGCTGGTTAGCCGTGTGCCTCGAGACCTGGGGCGGCTGCACCTCGAGTCTGGGTGGGGATGGAGGGACACCTGAGTGGCCCAGGCCCTGCCCGGAGCTTCCTCCTTCGGCCTCCGCACTCACAGAGGGGTAAAGTGAGGCCCGGAGTGGGTGGACGGCCCACCGTGGCCACCCCTGGCGCGTGGACGGTGCTCCCGCCCGCGGCTCACCATGACCTTGATGATGCGGTTGATGGTGTCCTGGTCGATCTCGGTGGAGTCGGGCAGCATGGTGGCGTAGTCGTTGCGGTAGAGCTCGTGCGGCGTGCTGGCGATGTCCCGCAGGCCCTGCTCCTTCAGGTTCTGGTTGGGGGCCACGGCGAAGAGCCGGATGCCCTCCTCGCGGGCCCGCTCGGCCTGCAGCTTGATGCCCCCGCAGGGGCTGCCGGTGACGTGGCCGTCGGTGATGACCACGGCGAAGTGGACGGTGCCCTTGCTGCGGTCCTGCCGGATCTGCTCCGTCATGTTGGCCAGCGCGCAGTCGGTGAAGGTGCCGCGGCGGAAGGAGCTGATGCCCTGCAGGTTCTTGATGAAGGAGGCCCGGTCGCTGCCCGGTGGGCTGAACACCTCCACCTGGTCAGAGAAGTGCAGGCCGCCGTAGCGCCAGCTCAGCGCCACCTGGTCCAGGTAGAACTCGTTCTGCAGCTGGCTGATGAACTGCGGCACGAACTGCTTCATGTGGAAGAGCAGGATGTCCGTGGGGGACTGCATGGTGACGCTCTCCGAGGTGTCCAGCACGAAGTACACGTGGATGGGGCAGTCGGTCTTCTCTGTGGGGCACAGGACCTGTCACGAGCCAGCCTCAGGAGGGACTGCTGTTGGAGCCCCGTTTCCTGGCCCCGTGCCTGTTTGTGGGTTTGACCTCACTGCCCCCGAATGCCAGAGCCCCCGGCCCCCAACCCCTGGCACCTGGGTACTGGTCCCAACTGCCCCCCAAATGCCCAGAGCCCCCGGCCCCCGACCCCTGGCACCTGGGTACTGGTCCCAACTGCCCCCCAAATGCCCAGAGCCCCCGGCCCCCGACCCCTGGCACCTGGGTACTGGTCCCAACTGCCCCCCAAATGCCCAGAGCCCCCGGCCCCCGACCCCTGGCACCTGGGTACTGGTCCCAACTGCCCCCCAAATGCCCAGAGCCCCCGGCCCCCGACCCCTGGCACCTGGGCAGTTGTTGTTTCTCTCGGTAGTGTCCGGCGAGATGACCTCCTGCTGCTGGGCCTGGATGGCCCCCAGGATTCCCCAGAGCAGGAGCACGGAGCAGGTGCCCTGGAGCATCTTGGCAGCACCTGTGGCCCTGAAGTCCTGCAACAGGGGTGGGGGTCGCTCAGACACCCCCAGTGCCTCTCCCCTGGCACCCTCCCCCATGGCAGGCGCACGCACAGCAGGTCAGCGGGATTGGGGGCACTGCCCTCAGTCTTCAAGGAAGCGGGGTCTGCGCCCAGCACACACCGTCACCAGCATCTGGACTGGGGGGCTTGCGCCCTCTTGCCCCACCCTGGGTGGGGTCACAGATGTTTAGTGGGTGCCTCTGGGCTCAGTTTTGGGTGGGATTTGGATGGTTGAGGCCCTTCCATGTCCTCCAGGGCTGGGTGGAGTGGGTAGCTGGGCGCGTCGGCATGGAAGGGAATGGAGCACCACTGTCTGGCGCCCCCCACTGCCTGGGGCTGCCCTGGAAACAGTGCAGAGGGGAGGGCGGGAGAGAGATCCCAGCTTCCCCAGACCGGCTCCCCTGCAGAGCTAGGCACTCTCTCTCCAGCCTGGCTCCATTCCCTTTAAACAGGACTTTGATAAGGAGGGAGGGAGGACTCTGTCAAGTGTAGGGACACAGCCGTCATTAGCCTGGCTTTCCTTTCTGTTGGGTGCCAGGACCCTGGGGCAAACAGATCCAGCCCTTGAACGTCCATCCTCCCTGATGCCCTGTGGCTTGGCCTAAGCTCCAGCTCCAGGAGGCCATCAGGACGGGCCTCACTGTGCTGCTGGCTCCGCAGAGTGGGGCTGGCAGCAGCCGGGCAGCTGGGCAGAAAGGGCACCGGGCCTGGTTCAGAGCGTGCAGTTCCAGGGGTAATGCAGGGATTGGAGTGCCGCCCTCTCCTCGGTGCAGATGGGAGGAGTGTCCAAGCACCGGGACTAGGGGAGGCGCTGCCAGGAGAGGGCCCTGAAGGGTTGCTGTGATTTTGCGGCGTCTGGAGTGGATGAGGTGACCCAGGCCAGACCTGCTCAGCCTGGGGCCCAGGGAGGAATGAAGTCCGTTCCCAAAGGTGCCAGCTCAGGCAGTTTGTGGGTGAGTTTCACAGCTTCAAGGACAAGCACTTCATGCTATTTAACTTGTTTTAGAACATAAAAAGATAAACTTTTTCCCAATTCATTTTTAAATGTTGCATAACCTGTGACCAAAGCTTGATAAAAAAAAAAGTCCCTAAAAGTAACTCTACAGATAAATATCACTATAAATATTACTGATGGCAGCGGCAGCCCATCTGGTGTGGCCGCTGCCATCACACTGGCTGCTCAGGGAGGGCCCATGGAAGAGGCAGACAGGCCCCCAACCCCGCAGACTGCCTCCCTGGGGGCCGCTGCCATGGGGCCGGGCCGGGTGGTGTGCTGGGTGAAGGGGAGCTCACGGCGGTGTTGCCCCTGTCTGGGATGCTGGCCCAGGTCTGGAGACCCTGCCCCAGGCTGCGAGAGGACATGGCCAGGTACCATGCTCCACGGAGCCAGCAGGAGCCGGGGATAAGTGGGATCCCTGCCCCTTGCAGTTTGGCGAGGTGAGAGTTCCCCAGGTACAACTGCCCAAGTCGTGGCTGTGGATCTGGGCCTTCTGCTCCATGGAGGAGGCAGGAGCCAGCCCCCACTCCTGGTGCAGTTTCAGCTGCCCCAACTGGGGCTGCTGACCCAGGCATCGCTGCACTCTTGGGGAGCCAGGGAAGGCCCCTCTTTCCCTTGTAGGCCTGGAGGTGCCTGTTCCCGCTGCCCAGCTTCTTCCCGCTCCCACCACCCACTCCAATCTCAGAGCAGAGTTGGGGCTGAGCCTGGGCACTGTCACAGCCTGGCCGGGTGGGTGCATGCTTGTGGCAGTGCTGACATGCCAGCCCCCTGCTGACTTGGCCCCCTCCAAACTGTGGGCACTGAGAAGTGCAGGAGGGGAGGCTTGGGGGGGTGCTGAGGGTGGCTGGGCACCGGTGCCCCTTGGTACCAGCAGCCTGGGCACCATGGATGGCTGCAGGAGGCAGATAGGCTCCTGGGCAGAAGAGGATGGGTCCCCAGTGAAGCCCCACCTTCAGGCTGGGGCAGGCCTGAAGCCTGGGGGCCGGGTTGCCCGTCCTACGGACCAGAGGGGAACTCAAGGTGCTTTCTTCTGGGCCTGCACATGGCTGCACATGGACCAATCAGCATGCACTTCCCCTCTCTGAGGCCTTTAAAAGCCCCAGGCTCAGTCAGAGCAGGGCAGAGCATGGCACGACCAGCTGCAGAGAGGAGGTGCTCTCTCTGCTGAGAGCTTCAGGACCTGAAGGGATGTCAGGACGACCAGCTGCAGAGAGGAGCTACCCTCTCCAGGGCTTTCTCTCTGCTGAGAGCTGAACACTAGTTGAGATGCCCTGTTTGCAGAGAGGAGACACGCTCTCGAGGGCCTCCTCTCTGCTAAGAGCTGCAGAGACAATGGGATGACCTGCCTGCAGAGAGGAGCCACCCACTCCAGGGCCTTCTCTCTGCTGAGAGCTGAACATTTGACAAGACAACCCGCCGACAAGACAACCCGCCTACAGAGAGGGGCTGCCCCCTGCGGGTCTCCTGTGAGCTCCCCTAACACTCAATAAAGCTTCTCTGTCTTGCACACCCTCCACTTGTCTGTGTACCTCATTCTTCCTGGACACAGGACAAGAACTTGGGCAAAGGCGCCACTGGCCATAGAGGTTTCAGGCCAGAAAAGTGACACCCTAAAAATCCCATAACATTATCACAAAAATTCTAGCCAATATTAAAAACTAAAATCCAATAGCATATTAAGGACCACTATACCAGAACTATAATATGAAGTTAAAGTACAGTGTTGCCACAAACACTAGGGAATACATTAATGTAAGTCACATTAACATAAAATGGGAAAAAATATGCAATTGCTTCAATAGATCCCTGAAACATCAATTTCTAACTAAGAAACAACAACAGCCAGACAAGGTAAAACCTAGTAAGAAATTTAGGAGTAGAATTAACTCTATAAAGGATATACATTTCAAATCAAGAGCTCACATCATATTTTACACAAAAAGCTAAAATAGTGGTTCTTATCTTTGTGGTCATGGACCCTTTTAAGAGTCTACACAATTTCACCTTACACAAATGCATAGATGCTCATATACAGAAATCATGTCCAGGAATTCAGGGATTCCATTCGTAGATCTAACCCTGGGTTAAAAAATCCTGCATTAGAAGAATGCTTACTACAGTACAAAAAAAATGGGGTGGGGGCAAACAGTGCAGATCTTACGCTACCATTCAGTGTTGTGTTGGAAGCCAATGCAATAAGACAGTAAAAATAAAAGTATAACTGTTGGAAAAGAAGAGACAAAACTGTCCTTATTAAAGATAGGATTGTCTACCCAGAAAATCATCTGAACAAAGTTTTTTTAAAAAAGAGAAAAAAAAATATATATATATATAGACAGAGAGAAAGAGAGAAAGAAAGAGAAAGGAGGGGAGATTAGGGAGAGAAAATTTAGTGAGCCACTTAGAAAAATATATCATTGATGAAAAGAGTCAAACTCTGTAAAATATTTTAAGAGATTTATTCTGAGCCAAATATGAGTGGCCATGACCCATGACACAGCCCTTAGGAGGTCCTGAGAACATGTACCCAAGGTGGCTGGGGTGCAGCTCGGTTTTATTCATTTTAGGGAGGCATGAGACATCAATCAAATACATTTAAGAAATACATTGGTTTAATCCAGAAAGGCAGGAAAATTCAAAGCGGGGAGAGATGGCTTCCAGGCTACAGGTAAATTTAAACATTTTCTGGTTGACAATTGGTTGAGTTTGTCTAAAGACCTGGGATCATAGAAAGGAAATGCTCAGGTTAAGATAAAAGACTGTGGAGACCAAGGTTCTTCTGAAGTCTCATAGTGGCTGCCCTTAGAGACAATCAATGACAAGTGTTTCCTACTGAGACCTTTAAAAGCTGCTAGACTCTCGGTTAATCTCTTCAGAATTGGGAGGGCCTGGAAGAAAAAGAGCTAGCTATGTTAACAGAGATTCCTTACAGATGCAAATTTTCCCCAGTAAAGGACAGCTTTGCAGGGCCATTTCAAAATGTGGCAAAGAAACATGTTTTGGGGTAAAATATTTTTATTTTCTTCTTGGTCGTGTAGTGTCATGCCAGAGTCAGATGGAAAGTAAGTCACAGCATATAGGGTTAGATAAAACCATCTGATGAGAATTTATGGTTTGTAGGGCATGACTCCCCAGACCCCTTAGATAAGAATATAGGCAAGATAAAAAAATCAGAGCTTAGTCCTCAACATACAAAAAGTTATTGATTTTCTTCTATCAGTTAGAAGAAACATTTTCTAACAACCAGTTAGAAAATGTTGCAGAAAAATGCTATTTACACTAGTAAGAAAAACAACATAAACCCAAGGAATCAACTGAATAAAAATGTGCAGGACTTATGAAAAAAACTCAAAAAAATTTTTGAGAAATATATTGGAAAGACAAACCTTGTTTTTGGATAAGAAATCATCCCACTATCTTAAACTGATTTAAAAATATCAGTTATTCCTAACTGAATCTATAATAGAATGCAATTTTAATTAAAGTTTCCAAGAAAATTTTTTGCATTTTTGTAGATAGGAGTTTGCAAAATGAATCCAAGTTTTACTTGGTAGAAAAAGCAAGAAGAGTTGAGCAAAATAAAAAATAGAGTGATGAGAAAGCTTGTGCTATCAAATGAAACGATAAAATTACAGTTTTGGTTTTGGTGCTGGAACAGGCCAACACTCCACACAACCATGGGCATAACAACACACGAGAACTTAGGCTATGACATGGTGGCCTTTCAGAGTGGTGGAAGCAGGCTGGGATGAGGGCTCACCCTGTGACTAGAAATAAAGGTACTACCTCACATGGTGCTCCCAAATAAACTCCAGGAAAAGGAAGTATCTGAGTGCAAAACAGGAACCAAAAAGTCTTTGAAGAAAACAGAATGTATAAAATGTCAATGAAAAATCTATAATAATTGTGTACCAGATACTGTCCTATATCCCTTCATTCAACATTCACAATTGGACTTATGGCCTTGGACATAGGTACTATTACCATCCCCACTCCAACAGATGAGGAAACCAAGGCCCAGTGAGGTAACTTGCCCAGGGCACTCAGCTAATAGCTGAGGTCTGAAGCCTGGCAGTGTGGGCTCAAGTCTGCCCTCTTGACACTGAGCTCCCACATATGACCATCATTACAACAAAAGCAATATGAGCAGACTGGAAGCAGACTGAGAGCCAGCAACAATCTTCCCAGTGTAAGATATAAATATTTTGATGGACTGTTATTAGGTGCATAAATATTTATAATTATTATATCTTGCTGTATTGAGCCTTTTATTAATATATGATGTCCTTCTTTCCCTCTTGTAACCTTTTTTGATTTAAAGCCTATCTTGTCTGGTATTAGTATAGCCACTCTTGCTCTCTTTTGGTTACTATTTGTGTGGCATGTCATTGCCCATCCTTTCACTGTCAATCTATTTATGTTTCTGGATCTAAAGTGCATCTCTTGTAGAGAGCATATAGTTGGATTTGGCTTTCTAAATCCATTCTGCCAATCTCTGTCTTTTAACAGAGAGAGTTTGGAGAGTTTAATCCATTTACATCTAAAGTAATTACTGATAAAGAGGGACTTCTTTCATTTTGCATTTTTTTTCTGTATACCTTATGGATTTTTTTGTCCTTAATTTCCAGTATCACTGTCTTGTGTTTAATTAATTTTTTTGATGGTGAAACATTTAAATCCCTTCCTCATTCCCTTTTGTATTTATTCTTTAGTTATTTTCTTTGTTGTTACCATGGGGATTGCATTTTAACATCCTAAAATTATAACAGTCTACACTGAATTTATACCAGTTTAGCTTCAATGGCATAAACAAAACTCTGCTCCCTGAATGGCTCTGTCCCCAACCCTTTTAGTTATTGATGTCACAAAATTACACCTTTATATATTATGTGTCCAAAAGCATAATGTTATTTTTAAATCAGTCTCTTAAATTATGTAGAAAACAAAAAGCAGCATTACACACCATTGTTACAGCAATATTAGCTTTTATAATTGTCTATATATTTACCTTTACTGAGATATTTATTTATTTATTTATTTTGAGATAAGGTCTTGCTCTGTTGCCCAGGCTGGAGTGCAGTGGTGTGGTGACAGCTCACTGCAGCTTCAACCTCCCAGGCCCAAATGATTCTCCCACCTCAGCCTCCCCAGTAGTTGGGACCACAGGTGTGCACCACCATGCTTGGTCGATTTTTAAAAATATTTTTATTTTATAGAGATAGGGTCTCCCTATATTGCTCAGGCTGGTCTTGAACTCCTGGGCTCAAGTTATCCTCCTGCCTCGGCCTCCCAAAGTGATGGGGTTACAAGCATGAGCCACTATGCCTGGCTGAGATCTTTACTTCTTCACTTGAATTACTGTCTATCACCCTTTATTTCAACCCGCAGGACTCCCTTTGGCGTTTCCTATAGGGCAGGTCTAGTGGTAAGGAACATTCTCAGCTTTTGTTGATCTAAGAATGTGTTAATTTCTCCCTTACTTTTAAAGGACAGTTTTGCTGGATGTGGGCTTCTTGGTAGACAGTTTTTATTCTTTTAGCACTTTGGATATATTGGCCCACTGCCTTGTGGCCTTCAAAGTTTCTGATCAGAAATCTGCTAATAGTTTTATTGAGGATTCCTTACATGTGATGAATCATTCTTTCTTGCTGTTTTCAAAATCTTTGTCTTTGGGTTTTGACAATTTGATTAGAATGTTTCAGTGTGGGTCTCTTTGAGTTCATCCTGCTTGGAGCTTTTTGGGCTTCTTGGATGGTTATATTCATGTCATTCATCATATTTTAGAAGTTTTCAGCCATTATTTCTTCAAATAGTCTCTCTGCTCCCTTTGCTCTCTCTTCTTCTGGGGCTCCTACAATGTTTATGTTGGTTTGCTTGATGGTATCCCACAGACCCCTTAGGCTCTGATCACCTTTATTCAATCTTTTTATTTCTGCTCCTCAGACTCAATAATTTCCATTTTTGTATCTTCAAGTTCCCTGATTCTTTATTCTGCCTGCTGAAATCTGCCTTTGCATTTCTCTAGTGAATTTTAAATTTCAGTTATTGTACTTTTCAGCTCCAGAATTTCCCTTTGGTTTCTTTTTAAAATTTCTAGCTTTTTATTGATATTTTCATTTGTTCCTACATTTTCTTTCACTTTCTCCACATTTTCCCTTAGTTATTTGAGTATCTTTAAGATAGTTCTTTCAAAGCCTTTGTCTAGTAGATCTACCACCAAGTCTTTTTCAGTGACAGTTTCTGTTGTTTTTTTTTCCTTTGAAATAGGAAAGTTTCTTTGTATGCCTTGTGAAATCAAAATCTCTTTCTTCCCCAGAGTTTGCTGGTTTTTCTTGTTTTTATAATTTTGATTGTTGCTGTCTCTGTGCTAAGGATCAGCATAAAGTATAAACTTAAGGTCTTCTTAGGTCTTTTCTAAGCCCGTGACTTCCCCTGAGCATGTGCAATGACTTTTTTATTTTCTCCACATATATGGTTGCTTTTGAATGTGCTAGTCTTCAATGTCTACGTCTCAAAAGAGGAAAAAGAGAAAAATGAAGGGAGAAAAGGGTGCCAGCCCTTTAAATCTCCTGGAAGTCACTTCAACCAGACGGAGAAGGGCTTGCAATGACGGGGTTAGTTGCAACAACAAAGTCTGTGTCAATAGATTTTGAAAGATCTACATCATACAAGATATCTTTTCAGACCACAAAGGAGTAAAGTTAAAAATCAGCAACAAGGACATTTAAAAAATCACGAAATTAAACAACACCCTGTTAAATAACCAAGGATCAGAGAAGAAATCACAAGGGAAATTATAAAATACTTAGAGATGAGTGAAAATGAAAACACAAATTTAAAAACTTGTTCGACAGTGAAAGCAGTGCTAAGGGGGAAACTGATGGCTATACATGCTTATATTAAAAAAGACAGGTCTCAAATAGGAGCTTAACCTTACAATGTAAGGAACTAGAAAAAGAACAAGCTAGCAGAAAGAAGGAAAAAATAAAGATCAGAGCAAAGATAAACAAAATGGAGAACAGACAGATAATAGAGAAAATCAATGACAACAAAAGTTGGTTCTTTGAAAAGATAACAGAATTGACCAGCCTTAAGCTAGATTCTAGACTAAGAAAAAAAGAAGAAACTCAAATTACTAAAATTATAAGTGAAAGTGGCAACATTGCTACTAATTCTACAGAAATAAAAAAGATTATAAGAGTGTACTATAAGCAACTATATGTCAACAATTTGAATAACACAGATGGAATGGAAAAATTTCCAGACAGACAAAACCTATCAAGACAAAATCAAATCATGAAGAAATAGAAAATCTGAATAGACATAACTAGTAAGGAGATTGAATCAATACTCAAAAATCTCCTGACAAACAACCTCTGGACCTGATGGCTGCACTGGTGAATTCTACCAAACACATAAAGAACTAACACCAAACCCTCCCAAAATTTTCAAAAAACTTGAAGAGAAGGGAACACTATTTAACTCATTCTTATGAGGCCAGCATTACTCTGATACCAATACCAGACAAAGATATTGCAAGAAAAGAAAACTACAATCCAGTCTTCCTTATGAACATTGATGCAAAAATCCTAAACAAAATACTATTAATAGTAAACTAAATTTGGTATAATTTGATGCAATTAAATGGAATTTAATGAATTGACCAAGTAGGATTTATTTCTGGAGTGCAAGGATAGTTCAACATACAAAAAAAAAAAAATCAATCAATGTAATACACATTAACAGAATGAAGGAGGAAAAAAAACTCACACATGATCATTGCAGTTGATGCAGAGAAACCATATGACAAAATTCAATACCCTTTCATGATAAAAACACTCAACAAATTAGGAATAGAAGGAAACAACCTTAACATAATAAAAGCCATATTATACGAAAAAGCCACAGTGAACATCATACTCAGTGGTGAAAGACTGAAAGCTTTTCCTCTAAGGTCAGAAATAAAGGAAGGATGCCTGCTTTCACTACTTCTATTTAACACTGTACTGGAAGTTCTGGCCAGAGCAATTGGGCAAGAAAAAGAAATTAAAGGCATTCAAATTGGAAAGAAATAAGTAAATTATCTCTGATCACTGATGATATGATCTTGTATGTAGAAAACCCTAAAAATTCCACAAAAACTGTTACAACTAATAAACAAATTCAGCAAAATAGCAGAATACATAGTAAACACATAAAAATCACTTGTATTTCTATTCACTAACAATGAACAATCCAAAGGAAATTAAGAAAACAATTCTATTTACTATAGTATCAAAAATAATAAAATACTTAAAAATTGACTTAGGAGGTGAAAGACCTGTACAATGAGAACTACAAAACATTTCTGAAAGAAATTGAAGAGGACATTTAAAAAAAGACATTCATGTTCATAGATTGGAAGACTTACTATATTAAGATGTCAATACCACCCAAATTGATCTAGAGGTTTAATGTAATCCCTATAAAAATCCCAGTGATTGTTTTTTTTTTCAGAAATAGTGAATAAATCCTAAAATTTAGATGGAATCTCAAGGGACCTCGAATAGCCAAAAAAAAAAAAAAAAAAAAAAAAAAAATCGTGAAAGATAAGAACAAAGCTGGGGGACTCACATGTCCTAATTTCAAAACTTACTACAAAGCTGCAGTCATCAACAGTGTGGCACTGGCATAAAGACAGACATACAGACCAACAGAATAAAACAGAGAGTCCAGAAAGAAACCCTTGCATATATGACTTTCAATCAAGCCGTCAAGACCATTCGATAAAGACAGTCTTTTCAACAAACGGTGCAGAGACAACTAGATATCCACATGCAAAAGAATGAAGTTAGACCCTTACCTAATACCATATACAAAAATTAACTCAAAATGGATCTTTACGTTTTAAGACCTAAAACTTTAAAACCCTTAGAAGAAAACATAAGGTAACACCTTCGTGACATGGGACTGAGCAATGATTTCTTGGGTATGACAATAAGAAAAAATAGATAAATCAGATTACACCAAAATTTAAAAACATTTTTTGCATCTATCTAGTGAAAGGACATCATTAACAGAGTAAAAAGAACCCAGAGAATGAGAGAAAATATCTGTAAACTGTGTATCTAATAAGGGATTAATATCCAGAATATACAGAGAACTCCTAAAATTCAACAACAAAAAACAATCAACTTGATTCAAAAATAGGTCAAGGACTTAAACAGATATTTCTCCCAAGAGATATATAAATGGCCAACAAGCACATGAAAAGATGCTCAACGTCACTAATCATGAGGGAAATGCAAGTCAAAACCACAGTGAGATACCACCTCACACCCATTAGGATGGTTAACATTTAAAAAAAACCAAGCGAACCCGGAAAATGACACCTGTTGGTGCAGATGTGGAGAAACTGGACCCTTGTGCACTGTTGGCAGGAAAGCAAAATGGTGCAGCCACCGTGGGAAACAGTGAGGCAATTAATTCTCAAAAAAATGAAAAAATCAAATGATCCACATTTCCACTTCTGGGAACATACTCAAAAGAAGTGAAAGTGGGATCTCCAAGAGGTATCTGTGTGGTGTGTTCATGGCCACATCATTCACAGTAGCTCAAACGTGGAAGCAACACAAGTGTCCAGCAACAGACGAATGGGTAAACAAAATGCAGGGCATGCATGCAGTGGAATACTGCTCAGCCTTACAAAGGAAGGGAATGCTGACATACGTTACAGTGTGGATCAATCTGGAGGACATTAAGCCACGTGAAATAAGCCAGTCACAAAAGGAGACATTTCATACGATTTCACTCATATGAGTCACCTAAATGGCCAAATTCCTGGAAACATAAAGTAGGATGGTGGCTGCCAGGGGAGGGAAGGGGTGATGCGAGTTGGTGCTCCATGGGCTTCAGTTTGACAAGAGGAAAAGAGTTCCGGAGATGGACCTTGGTGATGGCTACACAACACTATGAATGTACTTACTGTCGCTGAACTAGCTGCACACTTAAAAATGGTTAAGACAGTACATTTTATATTGTATACCACAATAAAAAATTCGGGAAAATAAAGCTTTTTCAAATCAATAAAAAAAGAAAAAACCCCCCAAACACCCCAAACAAACAAACAAACAAACACATCCATGGCCTGGGCAACATAGTGAGACCCCGTCTCTTAAAAGAAAATTAGCTGGGCACAGTGGTGCATGCCTGTAGTCCCCGCTACTCGGAGGCTGAGGTGGAGGCTCGCTTGAGCCAGGGATGTGCAGATTGCAGTGAGCAGTGATAGCACCACCACACTCCAGCCTGGGTGACAGAGCAAGACCCTGTCTCAAAAAACAAACAAACAAACAAAAAACCAAAAAAACCCAAAAAGCGAACATCCATTAGGAACATGGGGACATCACAACCAGGCAATGCACATCACTACACACGGTCAGTGATCAAACAGCCCAAATAGCCTTGTACTGCACAAAAACCAAAGACATGCAGAACAAACCCCCCAACAAGGCATCATTCCTTATCTATGAAATGAGAAAAAAAAAAAAAAAAAAAAAAAGACAGTGCTGCTATCCATTGTGGAGACAGGTTCCCCGCCACTTCTGGGATGGGCATCTGACGTTTCTGACCTCTGGACCCAGATGCCGCCCTTCTAAGAGCAGGCGCCCTGTGAGCTGGGATTCCCACCACCCCTGCCCATTACAGCCTCCACTGCAGGCCAGGAAGGGCCGCTGGGCGGGGCTGGGTGTTTGGATCCTGGGCGGACCTGGGCAGCCCCGTCCCAGCCAGTGCCCCGCGGGCTGGGTAGGGCCCCTTCCATGAGCAGCACCAGGACCCCTGCTTGTGGCGGGTGAGCCCCGCATCAGGCGCCCGACTTTGCATAAACGTGAAATAGGCCACAGGAGGCAGCAACTCAACGTGCAGGGCCGTGTTTAAGAGAAAGCATCTCACCGGGCCTTTCTTTCCTTTTTTTTTTTTTTTTTTTTTTTTTTTGAGACAGTCTCGCTCCCTCACCCAGGCTGGAGTGCAGTGGCGCGATCTCAGCTCACTGCAGCCTCCGCCTCCCAGGTTCAAGTGATTTTCTCCTGCCTCAGCCTCCCGATTAGCTGGGATTACAGGTGCCTGCCACCACGCCCGGCTAATTTTTTTTTGTATTTTTAGTAGAGACGGGGTTTCACCCTGTTGGCCAGGCTGGTCTCGAACTCCTGACCTCAGGTGATCTGCCCGCCTCGGCCTCCCCAAGTGTTGGGATTACAGGCGTGAGCCACCGTGCCCGGTCTGGCCTTTCTTGAAATAATCACCAGAGTCGAAGTGCAAGGGGGCCTCCAAGCCAGAGCTGTGTTATCCCAAGAACAAGGAGCTCCGCGGATCGCAGGCCCCTCCTTTCTGGGTTCCGACCCCAAAGGGAAGGTCCCTTCTCCAGGGGCGTCCTAGGCGCGGGCACCGGGGTTCTGCTGGCACAGCCCGGATGGGCGCCGCTCGCCCGCACACCTGCGGCTCCACAGAGGGCCGATCCGTTCGGTTGCCAGCAGTGGAGACCCAGGCCCAGCGGTTCCACCAGCGCCCCGGCGGAGTCCCAGGGCGGGTGTGGGCGGCCCGGCAGGGGCTGCGGGTCGCTGTCAGCCCGGGTCCCGCCGCCCTGGGGAGCCGCCTCCGTCTGCAGCTTCTCCTGGGCCTGGCGGGGCCCTGGTGGGCTCCAGGCCGGGAGGGGCGCAGCGATGGGGCGTCGGGGCCACCCGCGTCCCCTCCCCGCCCAGTCCCGCCCTCGGGCACCGAAAGCCCCTCCTCCCCCCGCCCCGCCGCCCCTTCCGTCCGGCCCGGGGAGAGGCCCTGCGCCCCCGGAGGTCCCAGCCAGCCGGGGCGTCTTCCCCGCGGGCCGGAGCCGGACCCGAACCGCTCGCAGACGCGGGGCCTGGCGGGGCGTGCGGTGCCGGGGTCGTCTCGGGAGCGGGGGTCCCAGCACCGAGCTCGGGCGCAGACAGGGACCCCCCCACCCCGCCCAGGCCGGCTCCGCCCCAGAGGAGGCCGCGGGGAGGTGGCCCCAAGTCGCGCGCCCGAGGGTCGGACCCAGAGACGCGGAGCCACAGGGGCAGGCGCGGCCCCAGCCCCGCGAGGAGGAGCCCCGAACCCGCCGAGCCCCCCGCCGTCCCTGGGGCTGGAGTCCCCCTTCCCGGGGACCCGAGGGACGGAGCCGCCGCCGCCGCCTTCCCAGGACTCGGGGTCACCCCCCGCGGGCCGAGCGGCTTCCAGGGTGCGGGGTCCGGGAGGCGCTCACCTGGTCCCGAGGAGGCTCCGCTCCCGACGGCCCGAGGCGCGGGCGCCGAGTAAGCAGCAGGGAGGGAACCGCGGCCGGCGCCGCCCCCTTTATACCCCGCCCCGCCGGCCTGACCCGCCCCGCCGCCAGGAAGCGCTGCGGCCCCGCGGATGGGAGGAGGGGGCCGGGGGCACGGGAGGGGGATGGGAGGGAAGCGGGGACCCTCGAGGGCGGGAGGCTGGAGGAGGTGGAGAGGGTGGGGACCCCCCTGCAGCCCGGGCCGAGCTCCCCCGCCAGCCCCTGCCCGCTGCTGCTCGGACTTCGCGTCCCGGGCCCGGCCGCCCGTCGCCCCCGCCCCATTTCCCGGACGACCTGGCTGGGGCTGTGTCCGCCTCCGGGGCCCTGGGTGTTGGGGACCGCGCCCCGCACGCAGGGCCGACGGGGGCCCTGGGACTCGCCCCTTGGTAGCAGCTGCCCTGGGGGGTGCAGGGTTCCCCCCATCAGCCCCCCGACCCCTCCCCTACCCCGTGTCCTGTGTCCGGCTTGCTCAGGCCTCCCGCGAGAGGCCCCGGGTCAGGAGCTCCTGCAGAAACTGCCGCTCCTGGGGCCTGAGGGTGGGGAGCCGGGAGGGCAGGGACAGCAGAGCCTGGGCGCGGAGGTTGGGGCAGAGCCTGGGCATGCGGCGAGCCACCCCTGCCACCCCTTTCCCGCTGGAAACCACAGGTGGGCTTGGTGCTGGGCCCTGGGACCACCGTGAGGTCCCCACCTGAGCCCAGCCGGGGACAGAGTGACAGGGGTCCCTGGTAGGGCTCTGTCTGGGGTCCCCACTCCCCACCCTGGTCACAGTCCCCCAGCCAGGGCCGGGGTTCCTCCTTGAGGTGAGGCGCAGCCGGGTTGGGGAGAGGTCCCTGGGCTCCGGGACAGGGCTCCCTTCAGAGCTGTCCTGGAAGGTGGCGGAGCGGCTGGGGGCGAGGTCCCTCTTCTGATGAGCAGGTTTGCAAATGTGGTGTGTGTGTGTGTCTGAGACTGAGTGTGTGTGGTGTGTGCATCTGAGTGTGTGGTGTGTGTCTGTGTCTGAGACTGAGTTTGAGTCTGTGGTGTGTGTATCTGTGTGTGGTGTGTGTCTGTGTCTGAGACTGTGTGCATCTGTGAGTGTGTGGTGTGTGTCTGCGTCTGAGGTTGAGTGTGAATGTGTGTGTCTAAGTGTGCCTGAGTGTGAGTGTATGTGCCTAAGTGTGCCTGAGTGTGGCAGCCACATGGTAGCCATGAGTCCAGGGCTCCTGCCTGCTGCTCCTGAGCACAGCTGACGGCGGGCACCGTGTGCCACTCCCCTGGGTCCATGCCGAACTCTCACCTGGGCAATGCCTCCTGCTTCCAAGCCAGCAGCTCCCAGGGGGAAGCCAGGCCCCTCCTCACAAGACCAGAATCCTTTAGGGGTTACCTTGGCTCCAGAAGTTCTCCCTCGGCCTGGCCAGCACTGTCTAGGGGCACGTGCTGGCCAAGGCTCCCCGTATCTCCTTCACAGGGGTCTCACCTGTGGTCTGAGGCTTCCGTCCTCTTTGGCCACCCCCCCAGCATCCTTCACAGACATTGCACTGATAAATCTCCAGTCACGTCAGAGCTTCCATGGCACCTGCCTCTTGGAAGACCCCAATTAACACAAGTGGTGCAGGAGGGGCCTGAGACTCAGCTGGTGCGGTGGCCGTTTCCCGGCCAACACCGAGGACACCATTCTGGTTGATGTGGGGATATGGGTAATCTTTGGCACAAAGTTAGGGCCCCAATTGTTAAATGTTTTCACCAAGAGTGATCTGGGACGTTTTCCTGGTGGAAGGGGAGGCCTTGTGGGTGTGGCAGTTTCCCCCTTTCAGTGCATGGGGGGAGTGGGGTTGATGCTCCACAGAGGGATGAATGGAGATTGCGACGTTACCCACGGTTGCCCATCAGGCTTGGTGTGAGAACAAAGGGCCTCTCTGGTTGCTGAAAAGGAGTCCCATGTTTGGCAGAGGTAGAACCAGTATGGCTGAGGAGCCGACAGTGACTGTGGGGACCACCTAGCTCTAGGCATGTTTTGATGCCTGGCCACGGCTGGCCTATGTGAAGGTCTGGACCCCGGTTGGGAAAATCTGGGACCCTGAAACATGGGCTGAGACATCCAGGTGGAAGCCCTGAGGGCATGGCCCTGCAGACCCCTGTCCCCTCAGAGCTTGCAGAGGGGCCCCTCCTGCCCTTGGAAGCCAGCACTTCCTCTGTGCTGGAAGATGCTCCAGGGGCCTCCCCTACCAGAGCAGCAGGTGCCCTCACTGGGGGCTGCTCCACCTTGTCTCTTGGCTGCCAGCAGTGACTAGGGAGAAAGTCCAGGGTAACCTGGATGGGGACCTGCTAGGCCTGACCAGGGAGTAGAGAGGTTGCATGTCCAGGAACTGCACGAGGCAGCCAGCATGTGCCTGCAGGAGCCAGGGAACACCCCCGGTATTAGATTTCCAGGGTGCTTTATCCAGGGGGACAGAAGAACTATTGAGGCGGAGGCACTTGCTTGGCACATAGGATTAGTTACCTGGCAAGTTCTGCAGGTCGTGGGTCAAAGATGATTCTGGGATGGCTCCCAGAAGCCTGGAGAAAGCGATGGGTCATGTTGAGCCAAGCCGCCCTGGCGGACGGCAGAGGAAGGAAGAAAGAGGCCGAGGGCGGGGACTCCAGTAAAATATCGTGGTTCCCTACTCCATTCCTGGACTTGAGCTAATTTCCTGTCTGGAACCATTGATTGCAGAGGTGGCCAGGTCACCAGAAGGAAGGACCAGGCAATACCTTGACAAGGATGTTCTGTAGAATCCCGCTGTCACTCACTCAGCTGGCTGCACGCTGGGAAAATCCAGAGATTTTGAGGACAAATGGACGCGGGATGTGAGTGGACCTTGATACTGGAGGCCAAAAGTGTCGCTGTGGCCTCCCTGTTAGAGAAGGGGCTGACGGGGCCAGGTAATAAAAAGGAATCCTGGCTAAAGTGTTGGGCACAGTGAGACCCCTGGGCCAGAAGACCATCCAGTGGCCGCTTCCCTGCCCCCTGAGTATGTAATTATAATTTATGTACTTGGTGGCTGGAGTAGCCATATATTGGATCCCAGGCCTGTGTGGTGACAGACATCATAGTGGGGAAGTCCCCTTTCCATGGCCAAGAGAGTAAATCACAAACCACGTTGCATCCTGGGAGGATGGCACCACCGTTAAAGGCCTCACGGAGGCGAGGGTGGTGGACTGTCGTGTCTAATTCTCTGGCCTGGTCATTGCAAAGACTGATGGATCCTAGAAAGTGACGCCAGACCACTTAGCCTGAACCCGGTAGTAGCTCCAGTTGCATCTGCTGTGTCAGACGTATCATCGTAGCAGATTAATGAGGCCAGTGATTGGCCATTGCATTCTTTTCTATTCCAATTAGAAAAGAGGATCGGAAACAGTTTGCATTTACATGGGAGGAACAACAATACTCATTCCCAGTTTAGTGCAGGGCCACGCTAACTCTGTCCTCTGTCCTAATATTGCCTGAAAAGATCTGGGCACCTGAGCAGTGCACCGGACACCACACTGATCCATTACAGTGACGACATAATGGGCAGGAGGAGGAACAGGAGGGTCATGAGCTAGAGGCCTTATGAGACACATTTGCATCTGTGGGTGGGAGGTGAACTCCGAGGATTCAGGGACCTAACTTCATGGAAGTTTTTAGGGCACCAGTGATCAGGTTCATACCAGGACATCCTCTAAAGTAAAAGAGAAATTGCTACATCTTGCATCCCCTACTTCAAAGGAGGAAGCACAGGGCCTGACAGGCCTTTTTGGGTTCTGAAGGCAACATATTTAATTCCTGGGGGCACTGCTCTGACCCACGGCTTGGCTGACATGGAGGCTGCCAGCTTCGAGGCGGCCAGGAGCAGAAAATGACTGTCTGAGCAGCCCTGCCATCTGGGCCACGTGACCCAGCAGCCCCTGTGGTGTTGGAGGTGTCAGTGTGGGAGCAGGCAAGTGTGGGGCTGCGGCAAGCCGCAGTGGGAGAGCCAGAGCCTCTGGGTTTGGGTGGAGGCCGTGTCACCTGCAGAGGAAGCTGCTCACCTTTAGAGAAATGCTTCCTGTGGCCCAAGCAGGTGGGGCAGCCCAGCCGTGCATCTCTGTGCACACCAGGACCTGGCTTCAGGTTGGACTGATCAGGGGAGGCTGGGCACTTGCTTTGAGGCCTTGCTGGGACCTGCAATTTCCACCCTATCCCTCCCATGAAGGGGCCCCAGTGATGGCTGCCGTGTTGGGTTTCTGTTTGTCTCTGCAGATGGCAATGACAGCAGTAGTCCCCTGGCAGCCACACACCCCTCTCCAAGAACCCCAGCGTGCCACCTGCCAGAGCCTGCAGCTCCCACACCCCTCTCATGCCTCCAGCACAGCCCTGCCACCACTTGCAGAGGAAGCTGAGACCAGAGCACTGAAGTAACCTGCCCAAGACTGCACAGCTTGCTGGCAGAGGAGCAGAGCCTGCGGCACGGCCTCTGTGTTACACTGTGGGCCCTGAGGATGAGGACTGGCCTGGAGTCCCTTTGGGTCTGCAGAGCAATGCCTGGCACAGAGCAGGCCCTGACTGGGGCTGCAGAGTCACTAAGTCCCTGCATGGGGGACCAACTGATGCAGGCTCTGAGGTCCCAGGATTCTGTGGAGATTCACAGGGGACCTAGGACCCTCGGAGCTGCCCTCTGAATTCAAGCAGTGGTGCCTCCTGTGCTTGTCAGGCAGGATGATCTGTGGGGCCTGTGGGCTCTGACCTCACTCTGCAGCAGCAAAGCCCAGAGGCCTCACTTTTTCATGAACCAGCACAGGCTCTCCTGAGAGCCCTGGAGGGAAGGCTCCGGCTATACTGCCTCCTGGTGTGAGGAGGCTTCTCTCTTGTCTGTCCCACTAGGGCGGGGCTGACGTTCTACCCTTGCCGGTGGGCTCTGGTCTGCTTCCCCTCATCATGCCCTTCTCAACATTCTCATTTTCAGACTGAAGTTGGGTGATTGCTCCTTTTCTCAGAGTGCTTGGGTGCAGCAGGCTGCGGAGGGGCACTGAGGCAGCCCAGCCTCAACCAGGGTTCCCAGGACCTGAGGCCCCAGGCTGGACCCCAGCAGGCTGCAGGCTGCCCTGCGGACACCACACCTCAACACCACAAAGGGCCCTGCTGAGGTTGGCAGTCAGTGCTCAGAGCACCTCCAGGCACGGTTCCTAACGAGCAAGCTGATGCCAAGGTCACATGACCATGAGTTTTTGGCTGCGTTGGGTCCTGTTTATGGAGAGATGGTGGGAGGGGAGCAGCATGGGTGGGTGGTGGTTCACGCTTAGGGGACTAACTGGGAGCTACAGTAAGACACATGCGTACCATTAAGAAGAGACTTTCTCTGTCGGAACTGTGGGTGCTTGTAGGCCCGGCCTGGAGGAGGAGGAAGCCGTGCTGTCCTTTTCTGCCCAAGTGTTCTCAGGCTGAGGCAGGCCTTAAGTGGCTCCGTGTGGAAAAGCTCTCTGTGGCTTTCTCACACTCTGGACACCACGTGGACCACTCAGGGCAGCAGGGGCGTTACTCTCGGGCTTGCAGCCTTTCATGGACATTTGAGAAGATGCCTCTGTAGTCAGACTTTCCTCTGCTTACTCATGGAGCCGACAGACAGAACTAATGTTCTCCCCAGCCGCAGCTGATCTCGACTCAGAAAAAAACGAAAAATGGCAAGACCTGCCACTAATGGGCAATTGCACATGAGTCAGTTTGTGTCACGGGTGTGTGTTCAGAGCTGGTGGTAGATCCTCCGGCTTTTATTTTTTAAGCCAGAGCCACCGCATTATTCTCAATAATCTCACCCAGGCTCTCGGGCTGCCAAGCACGTGTATTTTTGTCTTTTACTTTCACAATAGCACAGGAGTACTGGAGAATGTGGCGTGGACCATAGTTTACATTTTCAGTGGAAACCAGGACCAGAGGCTGTGTGCTCGGGGCCCAGATGGGGTGAGGACACCAGGTGGTAGGAAGTCGGGGGACAAAGGCTGTGGGCAAGAGCCTCATCGATCCTGCACCAGGAGGAGCCAGGGGAGGCTGCCCTGTCCCACAGAGAGGAGACCGAGGCTCCCGGAGGAGGACAAGTGGCAGGAAAGAAAACCGCGGTCTTTTCTCTCCCAGTCAGGGGGGTGGTGTGTTTCCCCTCCACCATCTGGGAGGTTGTCTATACTACGTGGGATTTGATTACAAATATTTCAAAATATTTATGCCTGAATAAAACCCTCCTCTTAACCAACCGTGCGGTGCTAACTGAAGGGGCCACGTGAATGTCACACAACTCAGTTCCCTGCTGGCGCAGGACAGCCACACTGACAAATACTTCAGCAGCCGGCACGACCTGTTTGTGACATGAGAATGTCAGGTAAGCATAGCACAGGGCTTCTCACCGCAGGTCCAACCCAGAGTGTAGTGCCACAAGTCCCCAAAGTCTGAAAAAAACTCTATTTTCCTGAGAAGAGGGCCCAGAGATTTAATTGGAAATAGGTACATGTAACTCCAAAGGTAATGCATAGTTTCAAAGAACTGGAACACAACAAAACACACAAAATCCACATGAAGGAAAATTCAGTTTTTCTCTGATGACTTAGGGAGTCCAGAGTTGACACTGCCACCAGTAATCCCATGGTTATCTCCACCACCACCACCATCACCATCATTGCCATCACCACCACCACCACCATCACCGCCACCACCACCATCACCATTATCATCACCACCACCACCATCACCATTATCATCACCATTATCATCACCATCACCATCACCACCACCATTACCACCACCACCATCATTACCATCACCACCATCACCACTACTACCACCACCATCACCACCTTCACCATCATCACCACCATCATCACCATCACCACCATCACCACCGCCACCAACACCATCACCACGGCCACATCACCACCACCACCATCACCACCATCACCACCACCACTACTACCACCACGATCACCACCACCACCATCACCACCACCATCACCACCACCATCACCACCACCATCACCACCACCACCATCACCATCACCACCATCACCATCATCATCACCACCATCATCACCACCACCACCACCATCACCACCATCACCATCATCACCACCACCATCACCACCACCATCACCACCACCATCACCACCACCATCACCACCATCACCACCACCATCACCACCATCACCACCACCACCACCACCACCACAACCACCACCACCATCACCACCACCATCACCACCACCACACCATCACCCCATCACCATTATCACCATTGCCATCATCATCACCATCACCAAGACCTCCCCACTACTGTCACTACTACTACTGCTATCACCACCACCACCATCACCACCACCATCACCACCACCACACCATCACCCCATCACCATTATCACCATTGCCATCATCATCACCATCACCAAGACCTCCCCACTACTGTCACTACTACTACTGCTATCACCATTACCCTCACCCTTACTGTCACCACCATCCGTATCACAATCTGAATCAGTTATCCATTTCTCCATAGCAAACCATTCTAACACTTAATGGCTTAAAAAATCACCCATTTAATTTGCTGTTTTTTTGTGGGTTGACACTTTGGACTGGGCTCTGCTGGGCAGCTCTTCTGATGGTTGCATCTGAACTCATTATGTGGTGCCCATCAGCTGAAGGCTTGGAGGAAGCTGAATGATCTAAGATGGCATTACTTATAGGTCTTGTAGGGTTTTGGCCAGGGTGCCTTGGTTCTCCTCCATGTGTCCTCTCTAGAAGTCTAACTCAGACTTGTTTACATGGCGTCAGTATTCCAAGAGAATGAGAGCAGAAGCTGCAAAGATTCTTGATATCTGGGCCCAGAAGTCACAATACATTACTTTGCCACATTTTATTGGTCAAAGCAAGTGACAAGGCCAACCAGGATTCAGGCAATGGAGAAGTAGGCTCCAGCACCCAATGTGAAGAGCTGCAAAGATTTTGTGACTCTTTTCAGTCTACTACCACCACCACCACCACCAACAACAACAACACTATCACCTTTTCCCATTCCCATTCCCATAACCTTTGTCTATCCCCACCATCCTCTCCTAAAGGCAAGCACTGACCATTTCAGGAGATTGGATCATAGAAAGATGTAGCCTCTGATCTTAAAGGCCATGCCATGTAGCTGAAGACATACATATTCGTGATGGGTGGATAAGGGTGTTGTAAATCTCTGGATGTACTCCTCACCAACACTGACAAACTCTCTTGAGGGAGAAAGGGTGAAAGTCCCGGGTGACTGCCATCTTCTATCTTGGAGGCAGGGCCTCCGTCTGATATGGGAGAAGGATGTGCTCACCTGCAGAGTGCCCTCTTTGTTAGGTGCATGTTTACAGTTACTTTTCTTTGCCTTTTTGTTATTAATTTTTACCTTTTACTAGTGATTGGCATTAAATAGTTATGACATTATTGTTTATTTTGGGGAAGATAATGCATGGCCACTGTGCAAAAGTCAAAAGGCACAAAAGGATACAGGGTAAAAGGCCTCCTGCCAGCCCTTGCTGCAAGGCTGGAGTGGGGGAGAATAACTTCCATGCTCACTCACGCAACTGTGGCCGTCCTCAGCCCCTGCTGGCTGGAGACACCAGCTTCTCACCACAGCTCCCTATGTGCAATACAGAAACTTGATTGCCCTAGAGTGGGAGCTGTGAGAGAGAAAGCTGGCAAGAGAGGAGAATGAGACGGTGGCCCAGCAAGACAGAAGTAAACAACTTTTTGTAGGCTAGTCTTCGAATTACATCTCATCACTTTTGCCGTAATCTGTTTGTTAGCAGTCAGTCACTAGGTCCAGCCTGTGCTCAGGTGGAGGGGATTATACAAGGTCAGGAATACCAGGAGGCAGGATTGCTGCAGGCTATTTTAGAGACTGCCTAGTGTGGGTCTGTTAGCAACACATTTCCTTAGTTTTCATTTGTTTCAACAGCCTTTTATTTAACCTTCAGTTTTGAAAGATATTTCCCTAGGTAAGAATTCCAACTTAGCAGTTATTTTCTTTTGATACTCTGAAGATGACATTCCATTATCTTCTGGCTTTCAGATTTGTGGAAAAAAATCTATCTTTCTGTTGTTTCTTTAAATAAAATGTGCTTTTTTCCTCTGGATTCTTTCAAGGTTTTCTTATCGTCTTTGGTTTACAGCAGTTTTATGATGTACCTAGGAACGATGTCCTTTATGTGTAGATTTTCTTTTTTGAATCTGTGGTAAGATATTTTTTATCAGTTTTAGAAAAGTTCTTGGTTATGATCTCTTCAGATATTGCCTCTGCCCCTTTCTGTCTTTATTTTCCTCCTGGGCCTTAAATTTCACAGGTTAGAGCCTTTCATCATCTTCCATGCATCTCTTATATGCTTTTCTATATTATCTGTCTTTGTCCTTCAGTCTGCCCATTTCCTTTTGACCTATTTTCAAATTAACTTATTCTCTTTTCTGTTATGTCTAATCTGCTATTAATCCTATCCATTGAGCTTTTAACATTAATTATTGCATTTTTTACTTTTAGAATTTCTGTTTTATCTTCAGTGTCAATTACTTTTTTTAACGCAACTATCTCATCTTCTAATGTCTCATGAATCATACTTATTTTAAAGTTCATGTCTGATAACTCCCAAATCAAGGCCACCCATGGATCTGTTTCTCTTGTTTGTTTTTTCCCCCATACAGGCATACGGTCCTGTCTCTTTTCTTGCTGGGTTATTTTTGATTAAGTGCTGGACATTGTGTATGAAATATTGTAGAAGCTCTGTTTAATGTTATCTTACTTTTTATAGGATTTAGTGTTATTTTGGTGGACAGTTGGTGTAGGGACAGGTCACCTTTTTCCAATCACAGTTGGATGTAGTTCAAATCTAAGTTTATGTCTTTGTGAATACTGATATATCACCAGTTTTCCCCTAATCCTAGAGCCTAACTTTCCAAGGGACCAGCTGAGAGTCTAAGGTATTTGCTGAGGGTTCTGTTCCTTCGAGGGCCCTAAATTCTAGGTGTTTTCTCCCTAGCACTGAGAAACTGGCAAAGAGTATGCTTAGTTTGTTTTTCTTTCCAAAATAGGTTTATTCAGGTATATTTTACATAACATAAAATTCACCCTATTCAAGTATGAGTATGCAATTCAATAATTTTTGGCAAATTTACCAAATGGTATAATCATAATCATAAATCAGCTTTAGAAAGTTTTCATCACCCCAATAAGACTTCTTATGCTCATTTATCGTTAATACCCTTTCATACCCTCCACCCCAGGAAACCACTAATCTGCTTTCTCTCTATAGATTTGCCTTTTCTGGATGTTTCATGTAAATGGAATCATATGGAATCATACATTATGTGGTCTCTTGTGTCTGGCTTCTTTCATTTAGCATAATGTTTTTGAGGTTCATTTATGATAGGCTATGTGTCAGTAGTTAATTCTTACCAAGGTACAGTATTTTTTTCTGGAATAAATGCTTTTCAGGTTGTTGCAATACTTTGGTTAATCTGTAGAGCTCTGAAAAAGAATATTTTGATACTTTTTCTAGTAATTTCTTTGCTTTTAAGGAAAACTGGATTTATGGAGGTTCTCACTCCACCATTCCAGAAGTCCTGGCCTTATAATTAATTTTTGTTCATTGATCCTGTGCCTTGTCAAATTCACTTATCGGTTCTTGCAGCTTTTTAAATAAATTCTGTAGAATTTTCTAAGCACAAAATAATATCCTCTGTGAATACAGACAATATTACCTCATGATGTAGTCTGGCTCTGTGTCCCCACCCAAATTTAGTCTTGAATTGTAATCCGAATTGTAATCCCCACATGTTGGGGGAGGGATCTTGTGGGGGGGTGATTAGATCATGGGGGTGGTGCCCCCATGCTGTTCTCATGATAGTGGGTGAGTTCTCACAAGATATGATGGTTTTATAAGGGGCTTTTCCCCCTTTCACTCTGCACTTCTCTCTCCCTGCCACCATGTGAAGAAGGACATGTTGGCTTCCCTTTCTGCCATGATTGTAAGTTTCCTGAGGCCTCCCCAGCCATGTTAAACTATGAGTCAATTAAGCCTCTTTCCTTTATAAGTTACCCAGTCTTGGGCAGTTCTCTACAGCAGCATGAGAACAGACCAATACACCTCTTCTTTCCAATATGTATACCTTTATTTCTTTTTCTTGCCTTTATCCGCTAGTTAAACCTCCAGTACAATGTCAAATAGCAGTGGTGAGAATGGATGTCCTTAACATAGTCCTGAATTTAGAGAGAAAGTCCACTGTCTTTCACAGAAATATGGTATTAACTATAGGGTAGCTTTGGTGGTTGTTGGTGATGATGCTCTTTATTATGTTGAGAAAGTTAACTTCTTTTTTTTTTAGTTTTTATTTTAGAGAAAGTTAACTTCAATTTCTAGTTTTCTTAGAGTACTTTCACAAACAGGCATTGCATTTTGTCAAATATACTTTCTGCATTTATTGAGGTGATCAAATTGTTCATCACCTCTATTCTGCTATTATAGTAAATTATATTGTTTGATTTAAAAAATCTTAAGCCAAAATTGCATAAGCACAGTTAGCTATGGTATAGTATCCTTTATATAAATTGGCAGGTTCAATTTGCTAATGCTTTGTTAAGGAATTTTGTGTTTATGTTCATTTGAGATGTTGGTCTGTGTTTTTCTTTTCTGGTTTGGGTATCAGGATGATTTTGGTCTCATCAAATAAATTTTGAAATGTTACCTTCCCTTCTATATTCTGAAAGAGTTTATTCAGAATTGGTGTTACTTCTTTCTTAAATGTTTGATATAATTCTCCAGTGAAGACCTCTCACACAATTTTCTTAATAACTATAGGAATATTTTTGAGTTAATTTAGATAATTTATATATTTCAAGGAATCTGTTTATTTTATATAAGTTGTCTAAATTTATTGGCATAAAGTTGGTCATCATATTTCTTTATTGTCCTTTTAATGTCTGTCAGATCTGTAGTGATGTTTCCTATTTCATTTCTCATGTTAATAATTTGTCACTTCTCTCTTTTAAAAAATCAGTATAGGTAGAGTTGTATCAAATTTATTGATCTTTTCAGAGTCAGCTTTTTGTTGTGTTGATTGTCTCTATTGTTTGCCTGTTTTCTATTTCAGTGTTGTGTGGCTGGGCCTGTCATTTTATTTGGGATGATGACCAAGTTTGAAGGCCACCATTCAGCCCAGGCCAGCCTGTCTGAGGATAGCAGTGCCACTGACTGGTCCATGATGACAGTGGTCAGGATGGTGGGGCAAAAGCACCCAGGCGATCAGTCACAGGGGCAGGGTCCTGGAGTCACACTGTGCCCTGGCTGTGTCACTGCTCCTCCTCTGTCACAGGGGGAGGGTCCTGGAGTCCTGGAGTCACACTATGCCCTGGCTGTGTCACTGCTCCTCCTCAGTCACAGGGGCAGGGTCCGGGAGTCCTGGAGTCACACTGTGCCCTGGCTGTGTCACTGCTCCTCCTCAGTCACAGGGGCAGGGTCCTGGAGTCACACTATGCCCTGGCTGTGTCACTGCTCCTCCTCAGTCACAGGGGCAGGGTCCGGGAGTCCTGGAGTCACACTGTGCCCTGGCTGTGTCACTGCTCCTCCTCAGTCACAGGGGCAGGGTCCTGGAGTCACACTGTGCCCTGGCTGTGTCACTGCTCCTCCTCGGTCACAGGGGCAGGGTCCTGGAGTCACCCTATGCCCTGGCTGTGTCACTGCTCCTCCTCTGTCACAGGGGCAGGGTCGGGGAGTCCTGGAGTCTCACTGTGTCCTGGCTGTGTCACTGCTCCTCCTCGGTCACAGGGGCAGGGTCCGGGAGTCCTGGAGTCACACTGTGTCCTGGCTGTGTCACTGCTCCTCCTCGGTCACAGGGGCAGGGTCCTGGAGTCACACTATGCCCTGGCTGTGTCACTGCTCCTCCTCGGTCACAGGGGCAGGGTCCTGGAGTCACACCGTGTCCTGGCTGTGTCACTGCTCCTCCTCTGTCACAGGGGCAGGGTCGGGGAGTCCTGGAGTCTCACTGTGTCCTGGCTGTGTCACTGCTCCTCCTCGGTCACAGGGGTGGGGTCCGGGAGTCCTGGAATCACACTGTGCCCTGGCTGTGTCACTGCTCCTCCTCAGTCACAGGGGACTCTTCACTGCACCTGGGTCGGGCGAGCTGCCCGTGAGGAACCTCCCAGGATACCAGGGTTGGGGCGGTGGCAGCCGCAGGCAGGTTTCCCTGGCTCACTGTGGAGGTGTCAGCACCACTGGGTGCACGCGCGTGCCAGCTGGCATGATGGTGTGAAACCACACACAGCCAAACCTGGAGGCACCTAAGTGTCCTTGATGGACACAAGAGGAGAGAAGTCCTGTGATTGGTTTAAGACAGGCTGGAAATACCTTTTAACAAAACCCAATATCTACCTCTAATGAGCCTTATTCTCACATTATTAGAATTGTACATTTACCCTGATGCCAACGTCAGCTTGATGGAGAACCTGGGACGCATTCCAGTGTGTTCCTCCTTTTCCGGCTCCCGCCCCACCCAGGGACCTGTCCCTCAGGGTGGCCTGGGCTCCCCTCTGGACCTGGCCTCGGGTGCAACCTCTGGGTTTGACCATTCGCAATTCTCACCGAGACCCCTGACCCTCCCCGGCACCACTGTACTCGCCTCCCGGGTCAGCCCTCGTCTGGCTGGTAGCCCCTCCCGCAGCCCCCAGGACGGCAGGAGGGTTCA